>NC_000012.12:28458906-28611601 GCF_000001405.40 Homo sapiens
CATTCTCCCACTTTAAATTCTTCCAGTGCCTCCCTGTAGCCTATAAGATAAAAGATAAGATAAAAGTTCAAACTACTTAGCATAAAATATACATCTTTCATTGACCTGGTCTTTACCTGTCTAGCTCGTCTGCTGCTGCTCTGTTTCACATTTCATGCTTTTAGAACCAAGTGGCTGGTACACATAGTGGGCTATTTTATGGTCTTGGGCCTTGGTTCATACTGCACCATCAGCCTAGAATCCCATTGCTTCCTGACTGGCAAAACCCACTCTTATTTCATAATTCTTCATTTTTACCCTCCATAAAACTTTTATTTCCTCCCTGCAGATTAAATCAAGTGCTCCTCTTGAGCATTCAGTATATAACTGTACCACTGCTCAGCCATATTATTATAAAAAGACCTGTTTCTATGTCTTCTCCAATAGATTATGAGCACCTTGAAAGGAGGAGCTGAGTATTAACAAACTGCAATAGATTATAATATATAGGACCAGCACTGTTTTAAGGAGACATACTAATCTTTAAAAAATCAACTGGGTCTCCAACAACACAATTTGGCTCTTAGAGTTTTGGTAGCTTTTAATTGGAACATTTTACCAAGATTAGAGTTATTTAAAATAGTGCTTCGGATGTTATTATCCCCTTTTTAAAGAAGTATTCATCACACTGTCAGTTGGATGCCAAACTGAACTGATTCTTATTATTGTTACTCAATGAAAAACTTGGAAAATACTCTGAGAGGTCAAGGATAATTACTTTCAGCTTCAGAAAAATGTTTACTTTGAACGACTAGTATATATTTGCTCTACAGTGATGAATGGCTGCATGAATACAAGTAGAATTTTTAGGTCATAGTAAAGTAGTACACTCTCTCTCACTGGTCAAACGGAAGCATTACATTCAACTATACCATTCATGTAGATTCAAAAGATACCATGTTTTAAAAGACACATTTCCAAATCAGAATGAGAATGTCTTAGACATTCATTTGTACCTCCTCAGCATCTATTCCTCTGTTCCCAATGTGATAGTTTATTTTTTAGCGATGTGGTTTAGAGGAAATTTAACCTACTTTCTAATTTACATATAGGTACTTGTTGATCTAGGCTAATAATTATTTTCCATCCCCATGTTCCAAGGATGCATACATAATTTGAGCCAAGCTCTTCAGACTCAATTTGAGGACTTGCCTCCTCAGGTATATAAACTCTGTTGTTCACAGTAAGAAAATGAGGAAATCTTTAAAGCTGTTAGTAATTGTCTTGGGACCATATATGTAGAGCTTTTGAGAAAATAGAAGCAACATCATTGGCAGAGCTAAGAACTGAAGAAGTTTGCCTCCTGATCACATTGTTTGCGTACTAGATGGAGCCCACTCTGAAGTTCGTTTACGTTCTCTCATATGAGACTGTAACTGCTTTTTTTCCCCTCAAGTCAATTTGTGCTGAATTTTCTGTTACTTGTGATCAAAAGAATTTTAACTGATTGTCAAATGAATGTGCTAAGGAGTAAAGAGGGTTAGATTTGAGTCCTAGCTTGTGACTCATGTAATTTTGACCAAGTTTTAAAAATGTATGAGGCCCACTTTCAGATGTCTAAATGGGATTAATAATACCTGCTTTGCATAGTTATTGTGAGGCCCTTAGAAACGAGACAAAAAAGAAAGATAATAGATTGGTGAAAAAGCTTAGAAACCATAACTATCATGCAAATGTTAGGTGGTATTGTGACAAAGCAGGAAACCTTGTCAAATACTATTGAAGGAACTGAAGCGTTTAGCCTTGAAAAGAAAAAAAGATAAAGCCACATTCTTCACATATTTGCATACTATATATACACATGTAAAAATATCAAAGGGATATTATATATAGATATAAATATATCTGTATGTGTGTGTGTGTGTGTATATATATATTTTTTAACTTAGCTGGAGAGGGACAGATAGAAGAAGTAGGTGAAAATTTTTAGCTCACTGCTGTCTTTTGGTCTCTTAACCATGGGGATACATTCTGAGAAATGCATCATTGGGAGATTTTGTAATGCAAATCTCATAGAGTGTACTTCTAGAAACCTAGGTGGTACAGCCTACCACACACTTAGGTTATTTAGGTATAGTCTGTTGCTCCTAGGCTACAAACCCATACAGCATGTTACTGTGCTGAGTACTATAGGCAGTTGTAACACAATGGTAAGTGTGTATCTAAACAAAAAAAAAGAACAGTAAAAATACCTGTTATAATCTTAAGAGACCAATGTTGCATACACAGTCCCTCATTGACAAAAATATCATCATATGGTCTATGACTGTACAAACTGAAACTATGAAATCACAGTTGATCTAGCAAAATGTGCATCGTTTTATCCAGGATTGATAAGATGAATTGGGTGGAAGGTTGAAGAATGTGTGTATTAGAGAATATAATCTCTACTGTCCTTTCTACACTATGGATATCTGTTTCTATTCCTGTATTATTATAGGTGCAGGGCAAATTCCTACTTCACAGATTTGCACCCAATTACTAATATTTCAAAAATCTATCATTTTTATAATTTAATTCTAAAAAGTTCTTTTTTCTGAAATAATTACAGTAAAATCCTTTTACAATACATTTAAAATACTTATATTGTTGTTTTATAAGCTTATAACTTTGGTTAAGTAGCCTAAGTTTTCTAAATTTCAGGGTATACATGCCTCTCAAAATCATCCTGAGGATCGAATGATAATATACCTGACCATTTTGTTAACTTTTAACCTAAAAACGTAAAGCATGACTTTTATATTTTTATTTTAATCCTTTTTATATTCTATTTCATTTAGCTCTATGTCTTTCACACACATCTTTGTTGGGTCACAGAATCTTCAGTACCACTAAATTGCTAATAAGGCAGCATAAATTCATTTCATTTACTTAGCACAGTGCCTGGAACATAGTATGTGTTGTTCTTGCTAGGATGGCCACCGTTGTTGCTTACTACTATTATTATTACCATGTTATTTACTGATGTAATTTTCACATCTAACATAGTGCCATGCATAATAAGCAGCAGGTAAACAGATGGTTACTGATGATTACCAAAATGCTGTAGTTTTCCAAACTGTGTATCAAGAGAGGGTGCTGCAACGAATTCATAAGGATGCTGCAAGTTTTTTTTTTTTAATCAGAAGGTAATGCAGCAATACTTGAGTTCTTGAAACCAGATGAACTACCAGCTTGTCGATATTTGTTTATGTTACATTTCTTTGTCTTTTATTGTATCTTTGTGAAGCTGGCATTTTGGATGTTACTGAGATAAAAAGCAAATACTATGCAAAAACCATTGTGGAACAGAACATGAGAGTGTTATTATCCCATCTTATTCCAAGGGTTAAGAAGTTGTGCAATGCCTAATATGTACAAAATTCTCATGAGTAGGGAACTATAGTTAAGGATGAAATAAAAATAGTTTCCTTTCAATTTTTATATATTATCTTTTCAAATGGCTAAGTTATCACCTACCTAATTAATATATGGAACAACTAGGTATTTCTTTTGGCCTAGTAGGAGCATGAAAAAAATTACTGAGACAGCAAGAGAGCCATAAACTAAGACAGTTGTAAGAAGCTATAATCTAGTGTGTACCCATAGAATAAGTTGCTCTGGGAGACACAAGAAATGTAATATGTAGTCTCTACTGTTAAGTAGATTTTCTTTGAATTGGGGAAACAAATCCACATGTTCATTATGATGAACTGTGCATCTGCAGTTTGTACCAGATACTATCGTAGTA
The DNA here is from genome assembly GCF_000001405.40 of Homo sapiens. Lineage (NCBI taxonomy): Eukaryota > Metazoa > Chordata > Mammalia > Primates > Hominidae > Homo > Homo sapiens. Next base: position 28,462,676 of record NC_000012.12, read on the forward strand.
TTCTAGTCATAAAGACTATGCTATGTCATAAATATAGTCTGTGGTTTCAAAGGGATATCCAGTTGGTAAGATAGACAAGTAAACTGATTATTATAATTTTGAGCTACAGAGTGCTTTGAGAGTGATAAAATATAAGATATTCTATGAGCACATTTGAGGAGTACTAGATCTACCCACATTGTGATGTAGAAAGCCTGGAGCATTTCAGGAAAGGCTCCTAGAGATGATGATACTTAAACTGAATCAGGAAGAAGGAGAAGTAGGCTTATTAAACAGAGGAGAAGGATGAAGAGAAATCATTCCAAGCTCAGAGAGCATGGCATGTCCGGGAAACTGCAGTATTTCCTATATACATGACATGAGTATTTACTATATACATGAAAACATGGTAGCTTCTACAGAAGTTACAAGTATGAATGAGACTTTCTCATTGTTTTCAAAGATATTACAGTGAACTACAGAAATATGTCAAATTTATAAATTGTTCCAATTTGAGATCGAGTGAAATATTACAAAGTACAATATGTTGAGGCAGTTGAAAACACAGAGATGGAAATGAGCACAGTGTTTGGTGGATATCAGTTTGACAAATCGAAATGTTTTTTGGGACAGTATTATAAAACAGAGATGGAATTAATATACATGAGCCAATTATGAGAACATTGAAGTCAAAGAGACAAATTCGGATTTAATATTATCACAAATGGAATGCTACCAGAGGCTCCACTGGCACAAAAAGGACAAGAGCTAAATATTTTTTATGGAAGATGAACTGGACAGCCTTAAATGTGATGCACAGAAGCAAGAAAAAGTCTAAACATAAGAATACTCTTTAGAAGTTGCTGGAATACTTGACATGCATGAAGAGGGCAGCATAGCCCACATGATGGCAGTTGAAAAGGTGAAGAAAGGACAGATAAACACTTTAAGGGGAAGACTGAACCTGGTGACTGGAAATAGGATATGAAACCAAACATGTCTCTAAGACTTGACATTTTGGTGACTGACAACATTTGCTTCTGATAAATATAATTCAGCATGTCTGTCTCTGGGGGTAATAATAAAAATTGACCATTTTGGGGTAATCCTGGTCAGAATAACAATAAATGAACAAAAAACTTTTTTTTGAAGAAGTATAGCAAGATGGTGGAATAGAAGGCTTCACTGACCATCCTTCCTGCCCGGACACCAGTTTAACTTCTACACAGAAAAAGCACCTTCATAAAAACCAAGAAGCAAGTGAGCCAAATACTTGATTTTTACTTTATATTGCTGACAGAGACACTGAAGATGTAGGCAAAACACTCTTAAATCTCTGACACCACCCCTCCCCATCCAGAGAGTGTCTCTCTGCCCTGGGGAGGAGAACCAGCAATTGGGAGGCATTGATTCAGTGCTGCCCTTGTTATACCAGAAAGCAAAACCAGACCAAACTTACCTGACTCCTGCCCACTGAGTGAGCATTTAAATCAGCCTTAGCCAGAGGGGAATCACTGATCCTAGCAGTCAGTAGGAACTTGAGTTCCCCCAAGCCTTACCACCATGGGCTAAAGTGCTCTGGGGCCCAAAATGAATGCAGAAGTCTAGGCCACAAGGACTGCAATATCTAGGTGAGTCTTAGCACAGAACCAGGCCAAAAGCCAGTGGAATGGCGGTGCATGCAACCTACTGAGACATTAGCCAGGATGGCTGAGGTAGTGTGGCATCACCCATCCCCAGCCCCAGGTTGTACAGCTCCCAGCTCCAAAAGAGACCCCTTCCTTCCACTTAAGGAGAGGAGATGTAACAGTAGGGAGGACTTTGTCTTGCATCTTGGATACTAGCTCAGCCACAGCAGGATAGAGCATTGGTCAGAGTCACGAGGCCTCCTTTCCAGGCCCTAGCTCCTGGGCGACATTTCTAGACATATCTTAGGCCAGAAGGGAACCTGCTGCCTTGAAAGGAAGGACCCAGTCCTGACAGGATTTATTCCCTGTCAACTCAAGAGCCTTTGGGCCCTGAATAACCAGCAGCAATACCCAGTTACTATATCAAGGGCCTTGGGTGAGCCTCTGAGACTTGCTGGCTTCAGATGAGGCTCAGTACATTCCCAGCTGTGGTGGCTAAAGGATGAGACTCCTGCTAGAGAACGGTAGAGGGAAAAGTAAAGGGGACTTTGGCACCTCAGATACTAGCTCGGTCTCAGTGGGGTAGAGCACCAAGTAGACCCCTAGGGTCCTCAGTTCTAGGACTTGGCTCTTGGATGACATTTCTGGAACAGCCCTGGGCCAGAGGAGGAGTTCATTTTCCTGAAGGGTGAGTCCCAGCCCAGGCAGCATATGCTACAAGCTAATGGAAGAGCCCTTGGGCCTTAAGGGCTCATGAGCAGTAATCTGACATTACTTTCTGTAGGTCTGCAGTACTTCACATAGGCCTGAGGTGCAGTAGCCATTGGGTGAGGCTCCTCTACCTTTGGAAAGGGGAGGGAAGAGTGGGAAGGATTGTACCTTGGGGTTTGAGTTCCAGCTCAGCCATAGTGTAATGGAACACCAGGTAGATGTCTACAGTTTTTGACTCTAGTCTTTGGCTCCTGGACAGCACACCTCTGGACCTGCCTGAGGCCTAAGGGAACTCACTGCCCTGAAGGGAAGGACATAGGCTTGGCCTGCCTTGCCACCTCCTAATTGTAGAGCCCCAGGGCTTTGAGCAAACCGAAGTGGTAGCCAGGCCTTGGGTGAGACTTAATGCTGTGCTGGCTTCAGGTCTGACCCAGCACAGTCCTAGGGGTGGTGGCCCCAGCTCTAGTTGGCTCAGAATAGAGAGAAAAACTTCATTTGTTTGGGAGAAACTAAGGAATGAGAACAAGAATCTCTGCCTTGTAGTTTGGAGAATTCTTCTGGATCTTGTCCAAAACCATCAAGGCTGTACCTCTATGAGTCTACAAGAACCACAGCATTCAGTAAGGGTCTCCGCTAAAGAAGTTCCAGCTTAGATTATAACATCCAAGTTCCTTTCAAATATTTGGAAAGCCTTCCCCAGAAGGATGGATACAAAAAAGCCCAGACTGCAAAGAATAAAATAAATACCTAACTCTTCAATGCCTAGACACAGACAAACATCTGCAAGTATCAAGATAACCCAGGAAAACATGACCTCCCCAAATAAACTAAATAAGACACCAGAGACCAATTCTGGAGATACAGAGATATATGACCTTTCAGACAGGGAATTCAAAATGGCTGTTTTGAGGAAACTCAAATTCAAGATAACACAGAGAAGGAATTCAGAATTCTATCAGGTAAATTTAACAAAGAGATTGAAATAGTTAAAAACAATCAAGCAGAAACTCTGAATTGAAAATGCAATTGGCATACTGAAGAATGCATCAGAGCCTTTTAGTAGCAGAACTGACAAAGAAAAAAAGAATTACTGCACTTGAAGACAGGCTATTTAATAGCAGAATTGATCAAACAGAAGAAAGAATTACTGAGCTTGAAAACAGGCTATACACAAAGGAGACAAAAGAATAAAAAACAATGAAGTATGCCTCCAGGATTTAGAAAATAGCCTCAAAGGGGCAAACCTAAGAGTTATTGGCCCTAAAGAGGAGATAGAGAAAGAGATGGGGATAGAAAGTTTATTCAAAGGTATAATAACAGAAATTCCCAAACCTAGAGAAAGATATCAGTATCCAAGCCCAAAAAGTTTATAGAACACTAACCACATTTAATCCAAAGAAGACTACACCTCAAGGCATTTAATAATCCAATTCCCAAAGATCAAGGATAAAGAAAGCATCCTAAAAGCAGCAAGCGAGAATAAGCAAATAACATATAATGGAGCTCCAATATGTCTGGCAGCAGATTTTTCAGTGGAAACTTTACAGGCCAGGAGAGTGTTGCATGGCATATTTAAAGTGCTGAAGGAAATAAACTTTTACCCTAGAATAGTACATTCAGCAAAATTATCCTTCAGTCATGAAGGAGGAATAAATGCTTTCTCAGACAAAAGCTATGGGATTTTATCAACACAGGACCTGTCCTCTATAAGAAATGCTAAAGGGAGTACTTCAGTCAGAAAGAAAATGACCTTTATGAGCAATAAGAAATCATCTGAATGTGCAAAACTCTCTGGTAATAGTAAGTACACAGAAAAATACAGAGTATTGTAACACTGTAACTTTGGTGTGTAAACTTTTATCCTAAGGAGAAAGAATAAACAATGAACCAATCAAAAATAATGACTACAAGAAGTTTTCAAGACAATACAGTAAGTTATAATAACAAAAAGCTAAAAACTGTGGGGATGAAGTTAAGGCAAAGTATTTTCTTTTTCCTTGATTGCTTATTTGTGCAAACAATTTTAAGTTGTTATGAGCTTAAAATAACGGGTACTAAGATAGCAAGAAGAGGAGACTACAAAACAACCACACACAAAGAAAGGCCAGAGTATGCCCTTCTTATCAGTAATGACATTTAATATAAATGGACTAAACTCTCCAATCAAAAGCTGTAAACTGGCTGAAGGTATTTTAAAAAAGACCCCTTGATCTGTTGCCTATAAGAAACACACTTTATGTATAAAGTCACACATAGACTGAAGAAAAAGGGATGGAAAAAGATATTCCATGCCAGTGGAAACCAAAAATGAGCAGGAGTAGCTATGCTTAGACAAAATGGATTTCAAGACAAAATTATAAGAAGAGACAAAGGTCACTATATAAGGAAAAAGGAATCAATTAAGCAAAAGGATATAACAGTTTTAAGTATATATTCATGCAGCACTGGAGCACCCAGGTATATAAAGCAAATATTAGAGCTAAAGAGAGAGAGAGAGAGACTCCAGTAAAATAGTAGCTGAAGACGTCAATAGCTCACCTTCAGTATTGGACACATCTTCCACAAGGAAATCAACAAATCAACACTGGAGTTAATCTATACTATAAAGCAAATGGATCTAATAGGTATTTAGAGAGCATTTTATTCAAAGGTTACAGAATTCACATTCTTCTCCTCAGCACATAGATCATTCTCAAGGATAGACCATATTTAAAAAGTACAAAATAAGTTTTAAAACATTTTTAACAATTTGAATAATATCAAGCATCTTCTCTGACCAGAATGGAATAAAACTAGAAATCAATAACAAGAGGAATTTTGGAAACTACACATATACATGAAAAGGAAACAGTATGCTCCTCAATGATCAGTGTGTCAATGAAGAAATTTCAGAAGGAAATTGAAGCATATTATGGAAACGCAACATACCAAAACCTATGTGATACAGCAAAAGCAGTACTAAGAGTGTAGTTGATAGCTATAAGTGCCTACATCAAAAAAGAAAAATTTCAAATAAACAACAATGCATCTTAACTAGAAAAGGGGGAGCAAACCAAACTCAAAATTAGTGAAAGAAAAGAAATAATAAAGATCAGAGCAGAAATCAATGAAACTGACATGAAGAAAACAATACCAAAGATCAATGAAACAAAAAAGTTGAGTTTTTTGAAAAGTTAAACAAAATAGACAAATCTTTTGCCAGACTAAGAAACAAAGAGATGATCCAAATAAAATCAGAGATGAAAAAGGAGACACTACATCTGGTATCTCATCTAGTATCTATACTACATCTAGTATCTCCTACTGGCTACTAGGAGCAACTATTTGCCTATAAATCAGAAAATGTAGAAGAAATTGACAAATTTGTAGTTACATGCAACCTACCAAGATGGAATCATGAAGAAATTTAAAGCCTGAACAGATGAATAAGAAATAAGGAGATTAAAGCTGTAAGAAAAAGTCTCTCAGTAAAGAAAAGCCTGGAAACCTGATGGCTTCACTGCTGAATTTCACCAAACATTTAAATCAGAACTAATACCAATCCTTCTCAAACTATTCCAATTAATAGATGAGGATGGATTACTTCCTAACTCATTCTATGAGGCCAGTATTACCCAATATCAAAACCAAACAAAGACACCAAAAGAAAGAAAACTACAAGCCAATATCTGTTAAATATTGATGCAAAAATCCTAAACAAAATATTAGCAAACCAAATTCAGCAGTATATTAAATGATTATTCATCATGACCAAGTGAGATTAACCTTTGGGATGCAAGGACGGTTAACAAATGCAAGTGAATTAATGTAATACAAAATATTGACCAAATGGAGGACAAAAACCATTTGATCATTTCAATCGATGTTGAAAAAGCATTTGATGAAATTCACCATTTCTTCATGATAAAAACCCTTAAAAAACTGGGTATAGTAGGAACATACTTCAATATAATAAAAGTTATATATGACAGACCCTCAGTGGGTATCATACTGAATGGGGAAAAACTGAAAGCCTATACTCTTAGATCTGGAACACAACAGGGATGCCACTGTCATCACTCTTATTCATCGTAGTACTGGAAGCCCTAGCTAGAGTAGTCAGACAAGAAAAAGAATAAAAGGCATCCAAACTGGAAAGGGAGAAGTCAAATTATAATTATTTTTTTTGCAGATGATTTTATATTTGGAAAAAACCTAAAGATTCTACTGAAAAAACTATTAGAACCGATTTCAAAATTCAATAAAGTTGCAGCATACAAAATCAACATACAAAAGTCAGTAGCATTTCTATATGCTAAATGAACAATCTGAAAAAGAAAACAAGAAAGTAATACCATTTACAGTAGGTACAAATGAAACTAAATGTTTGGGAATTAACCTAACCAAACAAGTGAAAGAGCTCCACAATAAAAACTATAAAACACTGATGAAAGAAATTGAAGAGGACACCAAAAAATGGAAAGATATTCTGCATCCATGGATTGAAATAATAAATATTGTTAAAATGTCCATATTTCCCAAAGCAATCTGTGGATTTAATATAATCTCTATCAAAGTACAAATGACATTCTTCACAGAAATAGAAAAAAAAATCCTGTAATTTATATGGAATCACAAAAGTCTCAGAATAGCCAAAGCTATCCTAAGCAAAAAGAACAAAAATTGGAGAAATCACATTACCTGATTTCAAATTGTATTCCAGAGCTATAGTAACCAAAGCAGCATGGTACTGGCATAAAATCAGACACACAGACCAATGGAACAGAATAGAGAACCCAGAAACAAAGCCACACACCCACAGTGAACTCATTTTTGACAAAGGTGCCAGGAACATATACTGAGGAAAAGACAGTCTCTTCAGTAAATTGTGCTGGGAAAACTGGATAGCTGTATACAGAAGAAGTAAACTAGACCCCCATCTCTTGCCGTATACAGAAGTCAAAATGGATTAAAGACTTAAATCTAAGACCTCAAACTATGAAACCACTTCAAGAAAACATTAGGAAAGCTCTCCAAAACATTGAACTGGGCAAAGATTTCTTGAGTATTACCCTACAAGCACAAGCAACCAAAACAAAAATGGACAAATGGGATCACATCAAGTTAAAAAGCTTCTGTATGGCAAAGGAAACAATCAACAAAATGAAGAGACAACCCACAGAATGAGAGAAAATATTTGCAAACAACCCATCTGACAAGAGATTAATAACCAGAATATATAAGGAGTTCAAACAACCCTATAGGAAACAATCTAATAATCCAGTTAAAAAATAGAGAAAATATTTGAAAAGACATTTCTCAAAAGAAGACATACAAATGACAAAAACACATATGAAAAGATGTTCAACATCATTGATCATCAGAAAATTGCAGATAAAAACTGCAGTGAGATATAATCTCACCCCAGTTAAAATGGCTTGTATCCAGAAGACATGCAAGAACAAATGCCTGGCAAGGATGTGGAGAAAGGGGAACCCTCATACACTGTTGGTGGGAATGTAAATTAGTACAGCCACTGTGGAGAAGGGTTTGGAGGTTCCTCAAAAATCAAAAATAGAACTACCATAGGATCCAGCCATCCCACTCCTGGATATATACCTAAAAGAAAGAAAATTAGTGTATCAGTGAAATACTTGCACTCCTCTGTTTGTTGCAGCACTGTTTACAATAGCCAAGATTTGGAAGCAACTTAAGTGTTCATCAATAGATGAATAGGTTAAAAAAATGTGTTACTTATACACAACAAGTACTATTCAGCCATAGAAATGAATTATGTCATCCTTTGCAACAACATGAATGGAACTGGAGTTCCTAATGTGAAGTGAAATAAGCCAGGCACAGAAAGACATACATTACATATTCTCACTCATTTGTGAGATCTAAAAATCAAAACAATTGAACCCATGGAAATAGATAGTGGAAGGATGGTTACCAGAGGATGGGAAAAGAGTGTAAAAGTCGAAAGAAATGAAAAATAGAAATGAAAAGATCAGAAAATTAGACAATCAATTCAAGAAGTTCTTCACATAATTTTGAAGAAAAAAATACAGTGCAGGAAATCCTAATACTATGTTACTATCTCATGAAAGTAAATCTGGAATTAAAGAACATGAATTTCTAGATTGTAAGACATGAGTTTCTAGATAGACCTGTAACTAGGTTCATCATGAAATTTTTGAGGAACAGAGCCAAGATACATAAAAGTTCCCTCAGAGGGAAAAAACAATGTGCAAATTATGAAGACTCAGAATATAATTAGGCTTCTCAATAACCTATGAAATTCCGCAAAATATTTCAACCTAAATACCTATATATGAACAAACTATCAATTGTGTGTGAAGGTACAATAAAGACATTTTACAGAGAAACTAGATATCGAAACTTTTACCTCTCATATGTTTTCAGGAATCTCCTGGAGGAGGTACTCTACCACAGCAAAGGGTAAACCAAGAAGAAATAATCCACTGGGATCTAGAAAGCTGGGAGATTCAATTCAAGGAATATATAGGGAACCCTCAAGAATAGGACTGAGGGAGATCTCAGAATGGACATTTATTTAACAGACCCAGAGAACAACCAGTCCAGTTTGGAGATAGGTCAAGGAAGTTGTATCTCCAAGAAGACAAACAGAATGTTTCATATCTTTAAGCATATTGAGAAGATATATACAACTAGGAGAGAATTTGGGCATTAACTCATAATAATTATTTACTCAGGCCAATATAATATAGCTGAAGTGACATTGTTTTGTTTATTTTCTCTCTCTTTTTTTTTGAAATGGGGTCTTGATCTGTCACCCAGACTGGAGTGCAGTGGTGCAATCTCAGCTCACTACAACCTCCGCCTCCCGGGTTCAAGCAATTCTCGTACCTCAGCCTCCCTGAGTAGCTGGGATTACAGGCGTCTGCCATCATGCCCGGCTAATTTTTGAATTTTTAGTAGAGATGGGGTTTTGCCCTGTTGGCCAGGCTGGTCTCGAACTCCTGCCCTCAAGTGATCAGCCCGCTTCATCCTCCCAAAGTTCTGGGATTACAGGCATGAGCCACCACGCCCGGCCCATTGTTTCATTTCTGAGATCATGTCTTAAGTGGCCTTAAATGCTTTCACACTGTTTTGAAACCCTCTTCAGCTTCCATGTGAAAAATCTTAAACTAGTCTATTGGAGAATGGGAGACCACAGAAGGAAGAGACAAGCACTCCTATCTGAAGCCATTCTAATAGTAGCCAGCTACGTTAGATTGAGCGGCTGATTGCAGATACATGAAAGAGCCCAGCCAAGACAAAAAAGAACCGCACAGCTGAACCCCTCCCAGATTGCCACCTTGCAGAATGATGACCTAAATCAGGGATTGGCAGACTTTTTCTGCAAAGGTCAAGACAGAAGGCTTTATGGGCTAAGAGGCTTAATTGAGAATATTATATAGGTGCTTATATAATGAGAAAAAAGTTAACAATTTTTATTGAAATTAAAAGTATAATGGATTACAATTTTTAATATAGATCTAATGAAAAGAGGAGAATTCTCTTTGGGGTAATAGCATCTGCTTGTTATTTAAAGCTAGTTATACCTATCATGAAAATTGGTCACAAATGTTTGTTAGTTGGTTGTTAATGCTGATCTGTAATGAGAGATTCTACATATTTAATCTTTAAAATGTCTTTTCACACAGACAAGTATGCTAAATATTTATAGTAATAAATGAATATATAATTTTGATTGAGTACAGTCATCACTTGGGAGGCATTTATAGAATTCTAGGTTCTCTTAATATTTTCCTTTTAGCATGTCATTGCAGTGCAGATTAATTACTTCCAGTTGAAAGTTAGATGAAAGTTTCTCAAATGCATAAGTGGATTTGGAAATACAGAAGCTTCCTTTGCACTTGCATCCATGTCTGGAACTTCTGGAACTGTAGTTTGAGTTCATAAATTTGTGTGGAATAGAAGTCTTACTTTTTTTTTAAGCTGTTGTTGCACAGGAAGTGTATAAAGGAGCTAGACTTTGTGATTCAAACAATGTTGATTATAGTTCAAATGACTACCCCATAGTATAAGTCTTGCTGCAGATAAGTGCTATTGTGCATTGTAATTTTTAATTTAATTTATTAAGAAACATTATCTAGCTTGAAACAAAAGCTAATGTCTTAAGCTATTCATTGTTTGGTAATTATGATTGAGTGGTTCTTCTTATTCAGAAAAACTTTCAGTCAAAGCCCTGAGCTCAAAAACAATCACAGCAACTCTTTACTACTGCTAAGCCATTGGACTGCTGTATAGGATGGCAAGTCAGGATATTGAGCTTCAGTTTCAGACAGAAATTAATAGAACTGACAATGGCCTAGTCAGCACAAACAAAAGAAGTTCACTCTTAGCAGTATTCATTCAGTAATACATGGTGAATTCAGATATTTTCTTCAAAACACTTCCTGATGAGTAACTATGAGTTTTAAATAATTTACTTTTTCACAAATTTTAGATATTTGTTCAAGTAAGCCTTCTTTCATTCCACACATATTTTTACTATTGTCAATTGTTAACACATCTTAGCAGATTCCAAGCCAGGTTGTACTGAATTAGTGTTTCTCACCTTTTTTGAAAAGTTTCCTACCTATAGTTGTTCCATGCAGACTATTCATAGAGCCTAAGTTTGAATAACTTCAAACTTGGCATTGATTCCTGAAATAAATAATTCAACAAATCATCTGACTCATGAAGAGCCAAGAAAACTACTCAAAAATCATTTACTTTGTTTTTTAATTTACTATTGATTTTGCAACCGATGCCGTCAATCTCATCAAGCCCCTGTTCTCACAAAAAGCTATTCCAAACAAGCTCCTTTCTTCCCCCTCAGGAGAACATTTACCTGGCTGCTTTAATTAAGCACAACTTTTAAAACTCACCATTGGTAAATGGCATTTCTGACTTGACTAACAAATGATCCACTCGGAAATTTAATTTTAGTTGTAGTGTGCATGTGTGTTTGTGTGTGTGTGTGTGTGTGTGCACGTGTGTAAGAAATCTGTTGTCTTGAAGGATTTTAAATTTTGTAATTTTTCGATGATTGCTCTCCTGTTGAGAATATTGTGATGAGTGCTTACTCTGGTAATATTCACATTTATTATTTCTTTTAGCACAGTTACAGTCTCATTGCATAATAAACACTTTTTTGACATCTAATCCATTATCAAAATATCACACTCCACTCTGCCTTAAAAGTGCAACAAAGTCGTTTTTTCTTGTTTTGGCATGATAGACATGCAGTGAAGTTAAAAATGATAATAATGTTACATTATGACAACATTCATGGCACTCAAATGCCGCCAAATTATTACTGCATCACTATAGTTTGTAATGCACCAAACAGCACTATGATGGGATGAGAATCATGTCATAAAATATTCTCTTTTTTTCAACATTAAAAAATGTAAAAAGTATTCTAATCTAGTGGATTGTACCAAAACAGGCAATGGACCGGATTTGGCTCATTGGTAGTAGATTGCTGATCCCAGGTCTACATAAATGGTTGTATTTTAAGCCACTAAAGATTAATGTTGTTGTTACACAGCAAAAAGTAATATATTTACTATAGATTTACTCAAATCCATAATCTATCTAAAGAGGGAAGATAGGGGGACTAAAAATATCTATGTGTTAGATTTTGCAGTGTTTCTAAGAAATAAGGCAAATTCTTCATTCTCCACACTGAAAACTCAAAAAGTAATGCCTGAAATTGTAAAATTGCAATAAGAATGTTGGAGATATTGAGAGAACATGAAAAAGAAAAAAAAAAGAGCAAATGTAAAAGAACAGAAATTATAACAAACTGTCTCTCAGACGACAGTGCAATCAAGCTAGAACTCAGAATTAAGAAACTCACTCAAAACTGCTCACCTACATGGAAACTGAACAACCTGCTCCTGAAGGACTACTGGGTACATAATGAAATGAAGGTTTCTTTTGGGAAGTGGGAAACTGGTAAGGATGGAATTCATAGGAATGGTTACACAGGGACGTCACCATTATTGATAATATTCTACTTCTTAAACTGAGGGGCAAATGGTGTGCTGTGCATGGTATTTTATTTATCTTATTTTGTGTGTTAAAATTTTTCTTTACATATATTAACATAAACAAATTTTAAGGAATTAGAGAGTTAAAATTTTATTCAAGAGAATACAAGTATTGACTCATTTTTATCTGACTTGGAAGTCAACTCTAACTTACTGCCTTCCTTCATTTTTTTAAGGCTTATTATCACTTTGAGAAAAGCATGCTGCTAATCATGTGAAAACATTTGCAGGGATAGAATGTAGGATACATGAACTCACACTGAGGGAGAAGGAAATATTTTAATCCCTTCATAAGTAGCTGTTAGAGTATTCATGAAAATATTTTGGTAGCCTTTCTTACAGTGATTTATATTATGCTTTTAAGCTACATGGTACTGTATATCTATTAAAATTTTTAGAGGATTAAGACTGTGAGATTTATTGATAGAGTTTACAGAAGGGCTTGTAGCTCCTTCCTAGTAAATTAACTTTGGCCTTGATTGAGAACAATACAGAACAACTTTAAAATTACGTGTGTTGCAGGAAAAAAGTTCATTGTATACCATCATGTAATACCACATTTTGGCCCCCATTTTCCCTCTGTCTTGAGTGCTCTTGCCCTCTCTCCCCCTCTTTTATCATGTAATGTATTCTACCATGTTATGATGCAGTAAGAAAGCTCTTACCAGATGTGGCCCCAGTAAGAAAGCTCTTACCAGATGTGGCCCTTGGTCTTCGACTTCTCAGGCTCCAGAACCATGAGGCAAACCATGAATCAATTTTCTATATAAATTACCCAGTCTGTGATATGTTACAGCAGCAGAAAATGGACTAAGATATCTATTTAGTAATACCTATGAATGGAGACATTATGGTTACTAGAAAATTACATTTCTGATTATACAGGCTTGTTTCATTTTGGGGGTTGCTTGTTACAGACACTAAAATGTCACTCATTTTCCTAGTATTTTGGTTAAAAAAACTGCATCCAATACAAGGAGTATAGTTCATTACCCCCAAATCACTCTACCCATACTACTGAATATTAGTTTTTCTTAGTAAGAATGGAATTTTGGACAATCTAAAAGACTTTCTCGTAACTTTAAATGAAACTGTTCTAAATATACATTCTTCTCAGCACCACACTGCACTTACTCCAAAATTGACCACATAGTTGGAAGTAAAGCACTCCTCGGCAAATGCAAAAGAACAGAAATAACAACAAACTGTCTCTCAGACCACAGTGCAATCAAACTAGAACTCAGGATTAAGAAACTCATTCAAAACCGGTCAACTGCATGGAAACTGAACAACCTGCTCCTGAATGAATACTGGGTAATGAAATGAAGGCACAAATAAAGATGTTCTTTGAAACCAGCGAGAACAAAGGCACAACATTCCAGAATCTCTGGGACACATTTAAAGCATTGTGTAGAGGGATATTTATAGCACTAAATGCCCACAAGAGAAAGCAGGGAAGATCTAAAATTGACACCCTAACATCACAATTAAAAGAACTAGAGAAGCAAGAGCAAACACATTCATAAGCTAGCAGAAGGCAAGAAATAACTAAGATCAGAGCAAAACTGAAGGAGATAGAAACACAAAAAACCCTTCAAAAAATCAATGCATCCAGGAGCTTGTTTTTTGAAAAGATCAACAAAATTAATAGACCACTAGCAAGACTAATAAAGAAGAAAAGAGAGAATAATCAAATAGATGCAATAAAAAATGATAAAGGGGATACCACCACCGATCCCACAGAAATACAAACTACCATCAGAGGATACTATAAACACCTCTATGCAAATAAACTAGAAAATCTAGAAGAAATGGATAAATTCCTGGACACATACACCCTCACAAGACTAAACCAGGAAGAAGTTGAATCTCTGAGTAGACCAATAACAGGCTCTGAAATTGAGGCAATAATAATTAATAGCTTACCAACCAAAAGAAGTCCAGGACCAGACAGATTCACAGTCGAATTCTACCAGAGGTACAAGGAGGAGCTGGTACCATTCCTTCTGAAACTATCCAAATCAATAGAAAAAGGGAATCCTGCCTAACTCATTTTATGAGGCCAGCATCATCCTCATTCCAAAGCCTGGCAGAGACACAACAAAAAAAGGAATTTTAGACCAATATCCCTGATGAACATGGATGCAAAAGTCCTCAATAAAATACTGGCAAACCGAATCCAGCAGCATATCAAAAAGCTTATCCACCATGATCAAGTGGGCTTGAACCCTGGGATGCAAGGCTGGTTCAACATATGCAAATCAATAAACGTAATCCAGCATATAAACAGATCCAAAGACAAAACCACATGATTATCTTGATAGATGCAGAAAAGGCCTTTGACAAAATTCAACAACCCTTCATGCTAAAAACTCTCAATAAATTAGGTATTGATGGGACATATCTCAAAATAAGAGCTATTTATGACAAACCCACAGCCAATATCATACGGAATGGGCAAAAACTGGAAGCATTCCATTTGAAAACTGGCACAAGACAGGGATGCCCTCTCTCACCACTTCTATTGAACATAGTGTTGGAAGTTCTGGCCGGGGCAATCAGGCAGGAGAAAGAAAGGGTATTCAATCAGGAAAAGAGGAAGTCAAATTATCCCTGTTTGCAGATGACATGATTGTATATCTAAAAAACCGCATCGTCTTAGCCCCAAATCTCCTTAAGCTGATAAGCAACTTCAGCAAAGTCTCAGGATACAAAATCAATGTGCAAAAATCACAAGCACTCTTATACACCAATAACAGACAAACAGAGAGCCAAATCATGAGTGAACTCCCATTCACAATTGCTTCAAAGAGAATAAAATACCTAGGAATCCAACTTACAAGGGATGTGAAGGACCTCTTCAAGGAGAACTACAAACCACTGCTCAACGAAATAAAAGGATACAAACAAATGGAACAACATTCCATGCTCATGGATAGGAATAATCAATATCGTGAAAATGGCCATACTGCCCAAGGTAATTTATAGATTCAATGCCATCTCCATCAAGCTATCAATGACTTTCTTCACAGAATTGGAAGGAACTACTTTAAAGTTCATATGGAACCAAAAAAGAGCCCGCATTGCCAAGTCAATCCTAAGCCAAAAGAGCAAAGCTGGAGGCATCACACTACCTGACTTCAAGCTATACTCCAAGGCTGCAATAACCAAAACAGCATGGTACTGTTACCAAAACAGAGATATAGACCAATGGAACAGAACGGAGCCCTCAGAAATAATGCCGCATATCTACAACCATCTGATCTTTGACAAACCTGACAAAGACAAGAAATGGGGAAAGGATTCCCAGTTTAACAAGTGGTGCTGGGAAAACTGGCTAGCCATATGTAGAAAGCTGAAACTGGATCCCTTCCTTACACCTTATACAAAAATTAATTCAAGGTGGATTAAAGACTTAAATGTTAGACCTAAAACCATAAAAACCCTAGAAGAAAACCTAGGCAATACCATTCAGGACATAGGCATGGGCAAGGACTTCATATTTAAAACACCGAAAGCAATGGCAACAAAAGCCAAAATTGACAGATGGGATCTAATTAAACTAAAGAGCTTCTGCACAGCAAAAGAAACTACCATCAGAGTGAACAGGCAACCTACAGAATGGGAGGAAATTTTTGCAATCTATTCATCTGACAAAGGGCTAATATCCAGAATCTACAAAGAACTTCAACAAATTTACAAGAGAAAATCAAACAACCCCATCAAAAAGTGGGCAAAGTATATGAAGAGACAGTTCTCAAAATAAGGCATTTATGCAGCCAACAGACGCATGAAAAAATGCTCATCATCACTGGCCATTAGAGAAATGCCAATCAAAACCACAATGAGATACCATCTCACACCATTTAGAATGACATTCATTAAAATATCGGGAAACAACAGGTGCTGGAGAGGATGTGGAGAAATAGGAACACTTTTACACTGTTGGTGGGACTGTAAATTAGTTCAACCATCGTGGAAGACAGTATGGCGATTCCTCGAGGATCTAGAACTAGAAATAGCATTTGACCCAGCCATCCCATTACTGGGTATATACCTAAAGGATTGTAAATCATGCTGCTATAAAGACACATGCACATGTATGTTTTTGGTGGCACTATTCACAATAGCAAAGACTTGGAACCAACCCAAATGTCCATCAATGATAGACACGATTAAGAAAATGTGACACATGTACACC
The DNA here is from genome assembly GCF_000001405.40 of Homo sapiens. Classification (NCBI taxonomy): domain Eukaryota; kingdom Metazoa; phylum Chordata; class Mammalia; order Primates; family Hominidae; genus Homo; species Homo sapiens. The sequence continues at coordinate 28,479,265 of NC_000012.12, forward strand.
ATGGAATACTATGCAGCCATAAAAAAGGAAGAGTTCATGTCCTTTGTAGGGACATGGATGAAGCTGGTAACCATCATTCTGAGCAAACTATCACAAGGACAGAAAACCAAACACCTGCATGTTCTCACTCATAGGTAGGAATTGAACAATGAGAACATTTGGACACATGATGGGGATCATCACACACTGGGGCCTGTTGTGGGGTAGGGGGAAGGGGGAAGGATAGCATTAGGAGATATACCTAATGTAAATGACGAGTTAATGGGTGCAGCACACCAACATGGCACATGTATACATATGTAACAAACCTGCACGTTGTGCACCTGTACCCTAGAACTTAAAGTATAATAAAAATATATAAAAAAAATAAATGAAACTGTTCTGTTTGTATGTTGGGATTACAAACACAGATACAAATTTCTGGCATATATACCCTAGATCAGAGTTGTTGGCTGTGGACATAGGATCATACTATGTGAGTAATACTTTGCCCATATAGGAAGGAAATGAAAATGTGTCTATCCTTTTCTTTGTTTAGACCAATGTTTAAGAGTTAGCAACTTTTGAAGATGTTGTGCTAATGAGCTAGCCTATTTACTTTTGATATATCATATGGGGTGAGGCAAGGATGACTATGTATGAGATTAATAAAGACTGTGTTTGTTGACTCATGTAAAGACTATATAAATGGCAAGAAGAGCAACCAATCTCCATGCTATTATTGGTAGCTCTTTACATCTTGGGTTGCTGACATCGGCCTTAAGCCTTCAGGGTCCCCACTACCTGGTCCCAGCCTTTCTTTCTTTCCACTTTTCCCAAGAGAGCCTTCATCTGTAGCCAGAAGCCTGAAACATATACTCAGGTTCTATTTTTGCGCTCTTATACCCAATGTCATATAAACTATTATTCCTAAATAACATTCAACATGAGCTACTTACACAGATCCCTCAGTCTTCATCTTCTTTCCACACATGAAACACCTATTAAACCTCAAGTCAGAGCTCACCTATTTTTTTAAGGTTTTCTCTGACCATTGTAGACATTGTGATATCTCCTTCCTTATAACTCAAACTAGTATTACCACCACTCATTAACCACAACGTCCTTTAAGATCTCTTTTAGTGTATGGTTATTTCAGTTTCTGTGCATTTATATTTTATTTTCACAAATAAATTAGAAACTCATCAAGAGATAGACAAATATAGCTTTCAGTATTTGGGACTATTTTTTACACAAAGTAGGTATTTAGGACATATTTGACAAATGAATGTATGAACAGAGTTTGCTACCAACCACAAACTAGAACCCAGCATAACATGTGTATCTCATCTTTGCACCTCTAGTTTATCACTCATTTTCTAAGGTGCATTTCTACAACCACATGTAACTTTTAGAGTAATACATAATTAGATAATATGCATGTATTTTGTGTAGAAACAAAAAATAAGTAAAACACACAATTTCCCCAGAAAATTAAACAACCACATAGTACTATGGTTTACAACCCACAGACCAGAATTCAGTTAGTTGGTGATACTTGTTTTCTGTAAATAACTGAGCTATGTTTACAGTCCTTAACAAAATTGCCCTGATAAAGGGCAGACAACCACAGGCATTTCACTTGTTCATGATCCTGTGATTACTGAAATGTATAGTAGATTTAATGGATGCTAAAGCATAACTATACTTTTAAGCAATAGAGAGAAATTATAACATCTTATGTAAAATATCATATAAGTTTTTAGCCCTGAATGACATTCAACATGACCTATTTAATCATAACAGTATAAAAACTGATTCCAGTCATTTATTTTTAAAAAATAGTGTATGGAACTTTCTCCACATTTGAACACTAGTTAGATAATCATTTGGATAGGATGTTTCTGCATATATTTTTAGATAAAAACATTCCAATATGACTGATGTATTTTCACAAATACAGCATAACATATGTGCAATTGAGTACCTTTCATTCCAAACTATTCACCTTAGGATAGTGTTTCTCAACTGGAAGCCATCTAGTGGGTAGATACTCGGTATGCTGCTTACACACAGGATGCTCCCTTACAGCAAAGGATTGTCAGTAGTTCCAAGGTTGAGAAACCCTTCCTTAAAGAATATACCATGTTCAGTGGTGGTGTGATCACCAAAATATTTTGGAAAATACTTTTCAGAATTTCCTGTTTGAATGTACTTATTGGTGGCAACTCTTCATTCCTTGCAAGCTATGTTTTATTTTAGATTAATTCTCATGACTCCCAGGAATGATATATTTAATTTATGGAACCAACAAAACATGCAAGCAGATATTCACATACCACTTGCATACATGCAAACAAAATTTATTAATCAATTCTTACTAATTCAGAATTGGGCCTGATTAGAAAGTAGAAGGCTTAAACTTTACTTTTATATAACATTCAAAGGAATAATTTATACACGAGCAGTTTTTAAGGATGAGCTTCACAACCTTGACTGTCAGTTAACTCCCAACTGGGGAGGATAGAATCAAGTGAAATTTTGTACTGTAAATGGTCTTTTGCCAGCTCAAAAACAAGGAATGGTAGAGCCTCAAAAATTTCAACTGAGAAGGTATTAATAATATAAACACTCAGCTCCCTCAAAAGTGTTAACTGAATAACTTTCACTAACTCTTCATGTTTTTTTGGTTATAGCCCATTTATTTAAATTGATGCTTTTGCTTTTAGTTAATATGTTTCTTATGACAGTTTTTTATCTGCAGTTGTAAAATTTCAAAAGCCCTGAAAACTAAGGATTTTTGTAACTCACCTGTTAGCAAAACCTGACTTGAACTAATGTGAAGCTATTTATACTTTTAATTGACTCATATAATGTGAATATTCATATTCTTCACTACAGAAGTATTAACATGTTATATTTCAGAGAGCTTAGTATGTATGTAATATTTTTACCTTTCTAAATTTGAATAACTTCAAATTCTAAATTTGCAAGTGTGAAGTCTATAAGAATTATAAAAGCAGATGCTGAATAGTTTTATTCTTATGTTTTTCTTTTATAAATTGCTGTAGTTTTTCAACTTTAATCTTTTGAAATAATTATGGAAACAACTTTGTACTCTATCAATGGAACCAACATTTAATGTACTCAGTGATTGAAAATAAAATAGTAAAATTTTTCAAAGACTTTCAGAATTTTCAGTTAATTTTATAAGGAAGGGAATAAAAAATAAGTATACCAATATTAAAGTGATAGATGATATGATCAAGCAAATGACAAGAGAAAATGTGTATTGCCAATATTTTTCTAAATTAAATGCTCAACATCACTTGGTAATCTTTTAAGAGTACAGGGTAAAATGAGATGTCATTCTCCCCAAGTAAGCAAAGATTCTAAAAACCGATGAAAATAAATGTTATCAAGGATGCAAGAAACTAGCCATTCCTATGGGCTTCTTATAAGAAGAAATTTGTACAAAATGTCAAAAGATACATTGAGTTTAAATCCTTTGGCCAAAAATGATTCCACTTTTTGAATTGGTCCAAAGTAAATATCTGCAATGTAGCACAAAGATACATATGTGGATGTTTGTCACTGCTGTATTTTATTTAAAGTGACCAAAATACCCATGATTAAAAATTGGTAAAATAAATTATTATGCAACCCTATAATATAATGGAAATCATATTATAGAAGAATATGTAATGTCTCCAGAAAATGTCCAAGATATAAGTAAAAAATGCTAGAGTTTAGAAAATAGTATGTACAGTTTATCCCATCTTCTGTATATCCAAGTATATATATGTGTGTCTTTCTTTGTGTTTGTATTTTTCCACGTTTCCATTTTTTACAGTAAATAGATTTGAAATAGAGAATCCTTTATATTATTGTATATTTTCTGAGTTACATATAAATATCTAAAATTAATTGGGGAAAACTAAGCAAAGTCATACATACAGTCCACAAAGTGAAGAACCTCCAAGAATCAAAACTGAAGCAAATATTCTGAGAAACTCAAGCCATTTTCCAATTGATTGCCTTGATGTCCAATAAAAAAGGGTGGTACCTATAGATGGGAATGAAAAGATTTTGCTTCGTGGCATTCATTCCATTTCATGATACACTATTGTAGCAGAAAATATCATGACTTCCTGAGAAGTGTAGTTTTACAGAATTTTAGTTTGCTTTCTGTATTTGCAATTCTGAAATCTCTTAGCTACCTGATTACTATTTCAATAAACGGAGAGTACCATTTCCCTCCCTAGATCTCTCATTTCAAATACTAGCACACTGGGTGGAATTTTTACCTCTTACTTATGGTGTCCAGCTCACAACATCTTAATCTGGCAAGAGGACCAAACTAGCTGTAAATCTTACCACTCAGACCACACTTGATTATTGTGTGATGGCAAAATTAAACGTGAATAAAACAGGTAGAGCATTAGAGTGTTCTTGGAAGAATAAACACAAGTTGGAAGTCTTATGTGGATAGTGCAAAATACAGGAAGGCAATGAATCATGTAAACATCAAATGAAAGGTTGGTAGGGAAGCCATTGGAATCTGTCAGGCACTCCCTGCAATAAATGGCATATTCCGTTCCTTTCCTTTCATTCAGTTTAGGAAAGGGAGTTCTGTGAACTCTCTAACAGATCGCAAAAGATTCTGTAAGTTCTTATTCCTGTGTAAAGGTACACTTTGAATAGAATGAGCTGAAACCCGCTGAAGAGGATGTTTAGTTTATATGAAATGGACACAGATATGTCATAGTGCTCACCTCCCTGACTGTTTTGCCTTCTCCCACAAACAGGAAACTGTTAAGGCAGCAATAATAGAAGAGCAGAAACGAAGTGAAAAGGCTGTGGAAGAGGCAGTGAAAAGAACAAGAGATGAATTGATAGAGTATATAAAAGAACAGAAAAGGGTAAGTATCTCCTGAAGAGTTTTAATTTGTGCTTCAATAAACTGAATCAGTGACTTCCATACAATAACATGAAATTGTAAAATATTTAAAATGTCCTGTGTCATCTAACTTACGGATCTTCATCTAAGGATATTTTCTGATATAATTATGTATTCTGATAGTTATGTCTATAAACATAAATCCCATCTGTCAGCAAAAACAACAGTGAATAATTTGTTGGTAGACTCCTAGAAATAACCTATATCATTTCCAATTTAGCTTTACTTACAAAGATAATAGACAGTTCTACATTTTTAGTCTTTTGCCATACATTTGTTAATTTCTTATAATATTCATAGACATGTGTATGCATCATTTAAGCTTTCTGACTGTATTAACACCACTGTAGTTCTAATGGACATAATTACAGTTAGCAAATTCAGGCTCTTCTGCCATAGTGCCATTTCAAAACCATAACTCAGAATATGCTTGTAAGAATTTAGGATGCATATTAAAGCTTTGAAAAAAATAGCATTTTCATACAATGTGGTTTTATTAATGTTAGTCTGAAGAGTAGCTGAAACTAATGGATCTAACTTGATTTGTTGTCGTTTCAATAAATCTTCAGTCCTCTAAGCAATACACAAAATAAGAAACTCTTTAAGATTAGATGTTTACTGTAATCTTCTCTGTAATAAATATATATAATAAAATATATAATAAAATTTTTCACATGCAGTGTTTTAGGATGTTTATATGTTTAGTATATGTTACATATTATATAAATATATTTATTTGTGCAAATATATAATATATTGCAAACATATATTGCATTACATAATGTAACAAAACACACATAAACAGTGTGTATGAGGAAATTTGACACAATAGCTAAACTTAATTGGTGGTCAAAATGGCAAAATAAATAGAAAATATACGATAAGATATTATCCTGCAGTTGGCAGTTCAAGAAGTGCACTAAAAGCTCATGACACTACTTTAGTCCTATACTTTTTTTTTTTGTTTTTTTTTGAGACAGAGGCTTGCTCTGTTGCCCAGGCTGGAGTGCAGTGGCGCGATCTCCGCTCACTGTAACCTCTGCCTCCCGGATTCAAGCAATTCTTCTGCCCCAGCCTCCTGAGTAGCTGAAATTACAGGCGCCTGCCACCATGCCCAGCTAATTTTTTTATTTTTTATTTTTAGTAGAGATGGGGTTTCACCATGTTGTCCAGGCTGGTCTTGAACTCCTGACCTCAAGTGATCCACCCACCTCAGCCTCCCAAAGTGCCAGGAATACAGGCATGAGCCACCGTGCCCAGCCATCCAGTGCTGTTAACTTGAAGTCAAATTTGGTATGATACAAAGAAAATCCCCATCTCTTGATGGCTACAGTTAGGTTTCAACAGAGGAGAATTTGTCACCAGAGTAAAAACTTCCTAAGTAGTCTTTCCAGATAAATTAACCACTCACAGAAACATTTTATATTGGATTAAATCTTTGTACAGTTTACCTCAGAGTGTTTTTAAAAGCATTTTCACTCAAACAAATTCCTGATAGATGCCTAACCTTCTAAGGGGAAAATTCTGGGCCAAAGAGTCAATTGGCTTTTCAAAGGAGTATTATGTTCTCAGAAAACTCCTATTTCCATATGTACCTACAAAGAGTTTATTTTAAATAATCTTGTTCAAAAGTAATCATGCAGCAAAGGAATTATAGGTACATTTTATATGCATACAGGGATTGCAATTGTGAAAGAACTTAAGTATCAAATAAATTCAAAGACTTCTTGTGGGTATTTGCTTTTTTATCATCTCTTTTTAAAATTGTTTATTTTATGTTAGTAAGAACACTTAACATGAGTTCTTCCTCTTAAAATTTTAAGTCTATAATACTTTATCATTGACTATAGATGTAGAATGTTGTACAGCAGAGCTTTAGAACGTATTCATCTTGCTTGACCGAAACTTTATGCCATTGTTTGGGTATTTCCTGTTTCTCTCTAACCCAATCCCCTGGTATCCACCAGTCCACTCTGATTCTATGAATGTGACTAGTTTAGATACTCTGTATAAGTGAAACCATGCAGTATGTGTCTTTCTGTGACTGGCTTATTTCACTTAGCGTAATGCCCTCAAGGATCATCCATGCTGTTCTGTATTGCAGAATTTCCTTCATTTTTAAAGCTGAATGGTATTTTGTTGTACATATATACCACATTTTTTATCCATTCCTCTGTCAATGGATATTTAGTTATTTCCACATTTTTAGTGTCTAGTCTTAATAGTATATGGCCAATCTTTATTTGAGCTCTGAATCTGAATGAGAAATTATATAACAAAGCAAACTCATTCATAAGATTATTTTAGACTAACATTTCTTTGGTTGAGATGGATGATTTTTCTTAAAAGAATTTTAAAGATAATGTTACTTTTTTTGTCAAAGGGAGTTATGTGGCTACCATAAGAAGTGCCTATAATAAGAATAAGAAATGCCTTTTTAAGAGATATCTGTTCCCCACATGAAGCAAATTAACTTTGAAAAGAGCTGACAATGAACTCTGGCATTTAGTCTGTGTGTTCTTGCAAATCATACTAAAGGCCTAGTATTCACTTGTATTAGTCAGTAAATCAGTTACCACATGTAGAGACATTATTAAAATAACAGCCAAGAAACCGTGACATTAGCTTTCATTTGCACTGAAGTTCTACTTCTCTTTGCTTGTTTCCTTATATATTAAGGAGAATAAATCTAATACCTACCTTGCAGAGTTGTTATGAATTAATACATGTAATAAAATAGCAGCTACAGTAAGGACTCAATAAATATGTGTTATGCTTATCATCTTTACCACATTATTTACAGAAAGTAGAAATAACTAGCAGCATTATTGTTGCTAATTAAAAAATGTGCTCTTTAGAATAGTGTTTGGTGTTCTATTTCCTCTGAATTTAAAGTGTGAATTCTAAAATTTTATTTCTCTTCTGTTACTAATTCACAGAAGATTAAAACTGATTTAATCAGTACACTTGTAGGAAATTTATTACTTCCACTTTGGGATTTTAAACTTTTATTAATAATACATGCTGTGGCATATTTTTAATATTTGAATGTTTGTATCTTTCCAAACAGAAAAGCTATAAAAAAGTAAATAAATGATCTGAAATGGAACTAATTACTAATTACTAGACCTCTTTATTATGTAAATTTTAAAAAATTGAGATTCTCTATATTCTTATTTTCCAAAAATGTATTTCAGTATTTTGAGTTAATTTTTATGAATATCTTGGGGTTTGGAAAATTTTCATACACAAAAAAGATATCTCAGAGCTTATAAACTAATACTTAGGAAAAACAAAAGTTTTTTAGCAAATTCATAATCTTCTTGTCTGTTTCCAAAAGACTGAATTAGGGCAACTCACATCTACTTCTTCCTTTGGAAGATGGATTTCTATTTACATCAGAGAACACATTTCCAGAATAAAAATTTTCCTTTCCCTTCTCCAGGTTTTTTTTTTTAAACTAAAGAGTCAACTTGAGATTTTCAACATTAGACAACTTAAAAGCCCGATAGACCTTGTTTCCAACTGAGCTTGAATTTCAGTTTGTGAAGTAATCTTCTGTTCTTGAAGTTTTTGAAAATCTTTGAAGGAAGAAGTCTACTTGTATTAGGTCCTACCTTTTTTGTCCTTTGTCCTAGTAGTCTTTCATTAGACATCATCATACTTTTACCAAATTCATTAAAAGTTTGAAATGAATACTTTTCCCCTACATCTTTTTTTTAGTCTTTTGCTTTTAAAAGACAGAAAAACACAGAATTAAAAATTCAAAATGCTTAATTTTTGAAATACCTTATGGATTATCTAACAATATAAAACACAATGGATTTACAAATTGCTATATGAGGTTACATAGCTCTTTCTGTGTATCTGAAATTAAGTACTTAATCAGTTATCCATTCCTGTTAAGTAGTAAAATTATACTCAGAATTATACTAGAATTAAAGTTAGAATTCTGAGAAAATTTTAATTTTAAATGCTATTTACCAATTTTTATGTGTGAAATCAATAGAGATGTCACTAAACTTTAAAAATACCTAGTATTCGTCTGGTCTAAACATCTTAGGACAAAGGGGCTACCTGTACATGTACTAATTAAGTAAATTATAATTTACATTCAAATTACATCCTAAATTATTTACTAAGTCAGATACATAGTACTTGTAATATTAGTCCGAGTCATAATCATAACCAAAAATTACTATGTAATGAAAATATCCAAATAAGGAGAGCTTTTAAAATGATCAACCAGAAAGATAATTTAAATCAATGATGAATTAGTTTTAGTAATAAAAATGCCTTTTTATAAGAATTCTACCTCATAATCTTTTTAGAAATTTCTCTGTAAAATCTATCATGCTAATCCTGAGGAAAAAAAAGGATCCTTACATTGAATTTACAACTTTACTGTGGAATCAAAAAGGTAATCTGTAGCCTTAACACTCATAAATTTTCCATTGAACTTGGCAGAAATTATCTAATTTTAATGGATTTAGACATTTCCAATATAACTTATATAATAGAGAAGAAAAGGCAAACAGGAAAACCTAAAAAGATTTAAAAATATATTTAATCTTTCTGTGGATCAGCAAGGTACCTGCAAGTACAGTGATTTGCATTGAAAGACCATATTGTATTTTATTAAAATGTAAATTTTGGTTTCAGACTCTCTTCAATCACTGTAAATTCTATAGCAGAAGTTGCAAACTGCAACTCATGGGTCAAATCCGGCCTGCTGCCTGCTTTTATAAATAAAGTTTAATTGAAACATACATTCACATCCATTCATTTTTGTATTGTCCACTAACTGGTGTCATGCTTCAATAGCAGAGTTGAGTAAAGAGAGACCATTGGGACATACAACCCAAAATATTTACTATCTGGTTCTTTAAAGAAGAATGTTTACCAACTCCTGTTCTAAATCATAAAAATTATCTTGCGGGGAAAGTTTCTTCTTTTCAGCCCTTTAAAATTTTTATTCGCTTCTTATGCCTCAGGGTAACTAGACAATTGAAGTCTCTTAGGTGCTATTCTGGAGAAGATTTCTCTCTATGTATTAATTGCCAGATAAGATATTATAATACATCATATCTGATCATTAGTGCCATAAATTTTATTTTATAAATGGAGATGGCAGAAAAATGAGATGGGAAAGAATACATCCCTGACACTTCCCTAGGGAGGAATAATTTGTGGTTTATAATGACCGACAGCCCTTGGATTAGAACGAAGAGTTCCAACCCATCCCACAAGTTAAGACTGTTACACATGAGTTTGCTATGAGGGAGGAAGTGTGAATAACATTCAGCAAGCAACAACTACTCACAGCCAAGCAGTGATTCCTAAAAAATAAAATCTCATCCAAATGTAATAAAATACTATTTTTCCTCTTAAGAAACAAAATTATTGCCTGTGTTTTCTAAATCACCTCCAGGAAAATAACCTTCACTTTAGAGTATCCTTTTAATTTAGGTTTTTAGAGAAGAGTAAGAAGCAATTTTCTTTACTTCAAAGGTTTTGTGGTCAAGGCATTGTCAGAATTTTTTAAATATAAAAGGGCTCTTTTAATCCAGTTTTGCTGCAATATTCTTGGATGTTTGCATCTCCAACTATTAAAAGATAATATTTAGACAAAATGAACTTTCCTTATGTTCTGACCAGTTACACAGTTACTTGAATAAACCATTATTTCAATATAAGTTATTTAATATTTCATGGTCCCTTACTTTTCTCTTCTTAGAAATATAGAAGTTTGACTAGCTGATCTCTAATGACTCTTAAAGTCCTAAAATTCTGTTAAGACTATGAGTAACATTTTCCTTGACAGTTGATAAACCCCTTGAGAGATTTTTAATTCTTGATATAAATCAGTTGCATCATAGTAGTTACATTGTATGGTATTTATAAATTAGTGTAGGAAAATGGCGCTTTCCTGACATTTCCCATCTTCCTGCCCCTTTCTCATCCTAATTACTCTTGCTTCTATCCAATCTGGAGGAGGCTGTGTAGTTGTATGTGCAAGAAGTAGCTCATTAACAATTCAGCATCTGTGGTCTAAAGCATCTGCCCTTGTAACTTTTGATTTGGGTCTCATATTTGAAAATGCTTTTATGTAACCAACACATATTAAAAAGCATACTATACCCTTACATTCATTATTGCCTGTTTTCGGTTGTACCTCATTTTTTGATGCCAAAGGGAATTTAGCCTTCTCTACATAAGCTATATTGTAATTTAAATCATCAGAAGTTTACCTTCCAAATTTGTATAATTATATCCATTTCAGGTGGCACAATAAACAAATGGAAAAATATTTGGATTTAGAAAAATAACCAGTACTAACCATCTTGCCAAATGATGTTTCAACTAGGTCACAAATTTATCCTTCTTCTTAAATTAAAAGCTTAGGAAATTTGATGTGAAAGAGAGGTTAGTGAAGGCAATGAAGTAAACAGATTTTAAAGGTTTTATAGTTGTTTAAGGTTAATATAATTATGATTTTAAAACTTATTCACTATTTCTCTATCTTAAACTCTTTGACAGTTTATTTCACAAATTATACTTTAAAATCAAATTTATTGCTATCTCCCACTTTATATTTTATCAGTCTTCTTGATGGTCTGTCTTGTTTTGCTCTTTTCACTTGCATAAGAATAATCTTGAAAAAACTTACTGACATGTGGACAATCACACACTTTGGTGAGATGACCCTATTTGTCATTTCCATTTCAACTGTGGTAATTGAGATGATGTTAAAGATAAAGCCCAATGCTTAGATTATATCCCATTATTCCTGTAGCAAGGAATATAAAATACGTTTTAACTTAAAATCAAAATGTAAATTTATGTATGTACACATAAAAACTAGTTTGGTGTAGCAGTTAATGCGGTATTTTTCATTGGTTTTTGGGTGGATTCTAATCGAAGTACAGTGAGCATAAAGACTTTGGAGGCATCTAGTATATGAAAATGTTTATCTCTTTTTATGTAATGATTCAAAATTGTTCATCTAAGTAATCACTTCTTGAATTACTATAATGACAACTAACTTTATTCTTTGGTAAAATGATTTAACTTTAAAAAACATATATTCACTGATGCAGGAGAATCACTTGAACCCAGGTAGATCAAAAAAGTTGTGCGAGACCAGAAGCACCATGTCTTTTAAAGCTTAAAGCCTTATTTTGGAAGGAAAGTATAAGAACATACTCCTTAACGAATTAAGTGAGGTCAAAATAATAGCTTCAAGCAATAATAGACACCATTGGCACATGACAGTGCTTGAATAAAGACCAAATGCATTATGGTGACAACAATTGACAACAGAATTCCAGAAGATCACTTAAGCCTATGATGATCAGGATGGACTTTTGGTTTCTGTCAAATGAAAACTAAAATGTGGACTAGGCTATATAATAAAAAGAGGAAAAAGAGTCTGCGAGAAGCCAAAGGATTTGGTTTCTTAAAAGAATAAGCAAATTTATATATAAAAATTTTTGTAAAGAAGTCTATTTTCTAGATTCTTGATATACCTTTTGGATGCAATTCTAGAATATCTTGGCTCATAAAGCTCAGATTATTGGGGGCAATAGACATGGAGGGAATTTTTTTGGCTTATTATATTGATATGCCCTTCAGCCATCCTTAGAAGTCAAAAATTTTGTGTGTGTGTGTGTGTGTGTGTGTGTGTGTGTGTGAAGGTGTAGGTGTATGTATGTGTGTATATATCAAAATGTGTGTGTGCGTGTATGAAGGTGTTGGGGTGTGTGTGTGTGTGTGTGTCTGTTTGAAGGACCTCTATTTGTGAGCCGTTTATTAAGGGACCACAATTGCCTTCACTGTTCTCACTCCAGCCCATGCTATTAAACTGTTTAGAAGGAAATGGAGAATGAAGTGGTATTACAAATTGCCAGCATCTTAATCTGTCTATATCTATATATTTACACAGCATGCATCTGTGTATACTTTTCACTATCCCATCTTAAACTGCATATGGAGAAGCTTCAGTATAAATGTTTTTTTTTCATTCTATAAAGAAATGTTATGAATACCCTTAATAGTTGGAGCACTGTGCTTAGGCTACAAGGACAAATAAAATAACCAATAAAGAGAGCCTTATCCTAGTATTCTTAATAATGATACATATTTGTTTAGCAACTGAAATTTATAAAGATTTTTTTATATGTTATTTGACTCTTATAATCTATAATCACTTGCATGTTTATTATTCTTTTGTAAACCAGAAAATCAGATGGTAGAAATTATGGTTCTGAGATTACATCTAATAATGGCATAGCTAAAATTTGATCCAGTGCTTTTTCTACTATATCACACCAGTGGCCCTTGTCAACTTCCTGTATACTAGCAATTTCACTTTACTATCTAGGATGAAGCCAATATCTGAAGAAAATTATTAAAGCCCGCAGTAGTTAGAACCAGTGAAGAGTTACAGCTGTAACATGAACAGCTAAGAGAACTAGAAGGGCAGGAGGTACTCAGTAATATACAAAAGGACTGGCCAAGAGAACAGCCCACATGTCACCACTATATTTTATTATATACTTTAACTATAAAACTATGTTGTTTTTGTTTCTTATTTAGGAAAAGATGATGATAGTTTCATGGAAATCATTGTTCAGAGTGAATTATTAAAGATATAACCTTGAAAAAGAGTTTCAAAGATGTGAACTTGTTCAACTAAGAAAAAGTTGCTTGCTGTAAAAATTCAGCAATATAGGCTCCCAGAAAACAGTACCACAGTTATCACCTCAAAACTAAATAAATACCTAGAAATACTCAACTTAAATGGAAATTTAAGTTGTTTAAGTAAAATGTTCTGTATTAGAAAAAATATATAAAAGAACCACCATTTATTGGGTCCCAAGTTTGTCCAACATACAATAATGGGTGCTTTATATTTACTGTCTCAATCCTCACAACAACCCTAAAATAATACCTCATTTTACAGATAAGGAAAATTGAGAGTCAGTGATATTAGATAACTACCCAAAATCAGTACGAGGGTCAAGATTTTAACTTGGTTCTGTTTGACTGCAAACTATATGGTGAGATTGTAGGATCTACCTTGGTAAATTTTTAAGACTGATTGAATAATTTACACATTATTTTTCATATAATATTCTAGGAATTATTACTTTTTCCACTAACAGGAATTAGTATACCTTTCTGTTTTTACAGGCTCCATCTAATTTGTGCCTTTTCAGTAAGACCCAGATAAATTGGGAAGAAAAGTAGAACTTTGGTCACATGTGTATATATGTACACTGAACACAAAAGCAGCTAAGAAAATGCTGTTTGTGGATTTTACCTTAGAGGGACAGAACTTACATGCATGGAATATGCCCCAACATGTAAGGATTTTCAAAAAGTGCTAAAACAAGAAAACTTAATAAACATACACTACCTGGCTGTCTAACATCAATATATTCCCATTGCCAATATTTAAACCTAACCTTCAAAATACATTCTTCTTCCATACTTACATATAGTAACAGTAATACAACTAAAATAATAATAAAATACTGAAGGTATCTCTTATAAAAACAAAAATGTGCTCACTCATTGTCTACAAAGAGGATGACCTGAAATATTCTGTGGCACCCAACCACAAGACAAGTATTGCTGAGAGCGTGATTGGTCTGATCATTCAACTTCTGCTGTCACAATCATCTTGAATCTCTGTCCATGTATATGAGAGTCATTTGATATGGCTTTCTACTTGAGCATGCCCAATTTAATAGGTTGGAGGATTAGCTAAAACAAGTTCATTTTAGGCAGATCAGGTCACATTTGTTTTTTCACAGCCAAATATACAATGTTGAATAACACTTAGCAATGAGCTCAGTGCTGCTTTTCAAAGGGATAAGATTTCCCTGCCTGATGACTTTGTTCCAAAACCTTAGAGATTTCTGCTGGGATTCCTCTATTAGAACTTTTCACAGGCTCCACATAGCATCTCAGTAAACTGCTAACGGTTCTAACACCCATTGAATCTATTGGTCGTTAATTAGGGCCAGGTAGATGTGCTATAGTATGGACTAACAAGGAAGCCTCCTTTTTTTCTGGGACCTACTCACAACTAGAGGCTTTCAGGTCACTTCGTAAATAGGTTAAAGCAGGATTCCCAAACTAATGTATAAATACCACAAAGAGTTCCACCTAGCAATGTGTCTCTTTCTTAGTAGCAGGAGGTACAAGGTGCATTAAGTTGCCTTTAACTTTGTAAAGCCTATCCTGGTATATGCAAGATCACTGGACCTCCAGAAATTTTACTGAGGTATAGTTCTTATATTTTCATGTGCTATATCTTACACCTTACTGGATTCATAGGTATACTTTCACTTATTACTTCCTGCTTTCTAGGTTCTGGACACATATGTCATCAATGTAGTTGTCATACGTGATGGTGAGACACTAATGATCTTTGTGAAATATATTGTAGTACAGAGCCAAATAATTTATATAACCCTAAGATGAAATGGTTTACTATTGTACCTGTCATATAAACACAGCTGTTATAGGTGTTCTCTGTGTATTGAGATACAGGGAAAAAGCATTTGCCAGATGAATAGTTGTATACCTGGTCCTAAGAGCTCTAGATGTACATTTTTAAATGCACATCTACAACAGCAGCTGCATTTGAAATCACTGTCTGATTAGGTCTCTTATAAATCACTTCCTCCAATGTCTACTGCATACTCTGGAGATAACTATATTATGTGTTTAAGGCCCAGTTGGGCTGGATATGAGACAGATTCAGATGGAAACTTCATTCACCATTTGATTCTGATAAGCATCCATTCTGACCAGTAGTACAACGTGGTCTTCTAGGTCTTCAGTTTTAGTGTTGGTTCAGAGTTACTATACAATGATACACAAAAGACCTGATATTTCCCTTTCTCCAGTATAGCTACCTTGATGAGGAAGGCCAAACTGAGGATTTACAGTCTCTATCTGTGATATTATTGCGATAGACGTTTTCAAGGATGGGCAATCTCCTCTTCACTCAAAAAACCGTGGGCATGTGAATTGACTCAGGACTGGACATTGGGGAAGACATTACAAATTTTTGTTGTAGTAACTCATGTCAGACCTTTGTTCATTAAGTCTGGATATTTTTATAATTTTAAGTTGGACTTTTTTGGATGCCTATCAGTTTTGTTCATATGATTCATCTGATCAAGTACCCAAAGCTGATGTCCCTGCAGGTCAGAGCATTCTGATTACAACTCAACCATGCTAGCAGTAACAGTAACCATTTCCTCCTGCTTCTTGTAATTAGGTGTATCTACTTGAGTTTTGCTACCTCAGCGTCCCATAACATTGGAAGCCACGTAGCCCACCAGCATTCGTAGCCTACAGAAGGCAGACACTGTTGTTCACAGACACTGACTTTTACCTTTCGAGGAGCAATGTTACAGAGCAATTGGTGGCCTTGATTATTGCTTGAATTGAGAATTTAGCATCGTGAGACTTTAATTATCTTTTTGAAGCTGTTGTGTGAAATTAGGATCAACTAATTTTGTTTTTGAATTCCTCATGCTCTTCATATTTTTCCATGTCCATAGCCCCTGGATCTGGTAATAGAAGTATCCAAATGTTGGGCCACTGAAAGTCTTGCCTTCAGTGGTCACTTTATTTCAAGTGGCTATAGTTAATAATTTGTTAGTTTGCTGCTGCACACTATGAACTACCAGATTTTACATTTTTTTAAAGAATACCAGCTGAATCTTTACAGCCATCGACCCTTACAGAACCAGGTAACTAAAATCTTTCCGATTTTCCTGAGGTTATATTGTCTTCAACCACTTCTAGAACCAATTTACATATCAACCAGGGTTCTTCTTTTAAATAACAGAAGCTGCTTTCATCTGACTAAGCAGCAGAGGAGTTTATTAAAACGATATTAGGTAAGCAGCCAAGTTGCTAGAGGGCTGGAAAACCAAGGTTAAGCTTCTATGAACAATAGCAAAAACTACACTGCAAAACTGGCTAAAGATAAACCACTCTTTGCTGCACATTCCCATCAAGCACTAGGATAAACTATTGCATAGTTCAATCATTTCCATCCCCCAAATTTGGATACTTCTATTATCATCGTCACGAGCAAAATAGATGCTATACAGAGACCTCTAATTCCTCACTTATGAATCAAAGTCTCGCACATTTGACTCTGGTTAGTGGAGCCATAGGAGCAGAGCAGGCTAGATAACTGAGTTTTCTTGGGTTTTATGCAGGGGAATCATACCTCATAAGGCTGGAAATTTTTTAAACATAGGGAGGATATCAAAAATCAGAAAACATTACAAATGGCCACTACATTCTTTAGTAAAGTCTCCCAAGTTGCTGTGGTTACTGAAGAAATATTTTTCCAGCTTTTTAGTCTTTTGGCTAATTCTAAAACTGATCCTTTGAAGTTAAACTAGGTGGGTTTCATTCTTTCTAGAACAGAACATTAGCAATTGCTAGGTTCATCATTTTGTAGAAAGTTTGCAGCTTGGCCACCATAATATTCTTTTTCAAGTAATCTGAGATTTTCTACAGTTAATGCCTAAGTTATACAACACTGTTCAAAGGATATGCAATACTTTGGATAGATTAGGTTCTGGGTTCTATGTAGTTGTACTAAAAATAGTTCTTAAGGTATATATATATATGTATATATGTAGATATAAGGTATATATACACACATATATAAGGTATATATATACATATATATATACATATATATATATATATATGTAGGATTTTTTGTAAATTTTAGTGATTAAACTTATCATTGTGTTAATCAACAGTGTTTCCCCCTGATTACTCAGGGATATTTCATATATGTTAGTTATAGTACTTTTTTCATAGAATGATGGCCACCAAGTTTACTAAAAAAAGAGCTTAAATTTCTTTCTACTAAATTCATCTAGATGAGATTTCCATTGTTTCTTGAGTCCTTGGCATCATCTGTTCTCTGTATTTATGTGTCCCTCTAATCAATTAATCTGTTTCTTCTCTCCTTCTCCCCATTTTCTTGCTATTGAACCTGTTATCCATGGCCTCTGCTATTTTTCAACTCTGATTGTAAGTATAAAACTGAAGAAAATAATGAGAAACTAGACAGCAGAGTACTGTATCAAATTAAGTCACACATGTTAAGCTTGAACAAGGAGAAATTTCCATCTTAACTTTGTAATAAGTATACAGGTTTTTTGGTATCTGTTTTCACAGGTTCTTATCACATCTTTGATGTTCTGGTTGTTAGAGAAGGTTGTGGCTCGGGACATTATACTACTAAATTGCAAAGTTAGATTCCACCAACCCATTTGAATCTTTTCCAGATGACTTTTTTTCCAATGTGGATGATTTTATGAACATCTGATTTGAAGTAAAATATTCCAGGATAAGCTGTATATCCAGCAGCGTACATTGAGATTGAGTCATAAAATAGTCCCACTATTCTTTTCACTATGGTTTTTTATTAATTTTTGCATGTATAATGTGATTAATACCTTGTACTAGGAGCATATTAATCATATCTTCTTTGCCATTTTACAAAAATTTAAATGTATACTTTTTATTCATCTGTGGGGATATATGACATTTAAAATAACTTTATGGCTTAGTATTTCCTTTGTAGTTTAGAGTACTTATTCGTTTAAGCTTTAGTGTGACTATAATGTATTCAACCCTTTGCTTTTGTCCTCAATATTTACTCCATTCCTGTGGTTCACATTTCCCTTTCCTTATGTATCATGTGTTGAAAATGAAAATATCTTGTCTGGGGTGGAGCTTAGCCATGGAACTAAACAAACATGCCCTCTCCTTCTGCTCTTAGTTGGTTTTACAGGTTAAGTTACTTAAGAATCCTGTTAAGAACAACAAGAACAACTTTACATATACCTTTCTGCATCATTATATAATCATAGTTAGTAAAAATCTCTTTCACTTCCTCCACCAGTGTACAATGTGATTCATTCACTCCTTTTATATTTATGACTCACACATCAGTAGAGAGGTTATTGAAAATAGCATACATATTCAAAAATGAAAGCCCTTGAATTTAGTGAAAGAAATTAAGCCACTTGAACAGAATTTCCAGTACTCAAAAGGAAACTGTGATGGGCACAGAAAACTGTGAACAAGGCATGTTCTTCTCATGTCAAGAGCAGAGTGCAAGAGAGAAAGCCCAAACAGGTAAACATTGCAAGCTTCTGATTATGCCTTATCTGCTGATATCTCCAAAGCAAGTTATATGGTCAAGTCCAAGGTCAAGAAGCAGGGACGTACATTCCATATACCATGAAGCCAAAGCATGTCACACAGTCAAACTCAACATCAATAGGTGAAAAAGCCTATTTCTCCCACAGAGGTGAGGAAAAAGAATGGCTAAATATTTGATCAATAATTATTTAATCTACCATACCACCCAGTATAAATTAGCTATCTTCTCTCCTACCAACCTTACTTTATAGTATCACTACTCTATTTTTTCTTCTTAGTGCATAAAACTCTTTGAAATTATGTTCATGTTTTTATCATTCACTATTCATTCAGTGAACAAATACCATCAAATACCTAATATATGCTAGGTAGCACTCTTAAGTGCTAGGGATATATCAGTAAATAAAACAGACAAAAATTCTTGTTAATTATCTTTTCCCCCTACTATAAAATATAAGCTCTAAAAGAGAAAAGACCTCATTTGTTTTGTTCACTGCTGTATTCTCAGTATCTAGAATAAGCCTGAAACATAACAGATGTTTAATGAAATGTTGCTTAATGAAGGAATGCCATTAAACATTTATCTAATCTAACTCTGTTTGTTCAAATTCCTTGCTCACTAAGCAGCTTTCTGATTGTGATTTGTTTCTAGCATAGGGGAAGCTTTTATGGTCAGTTTTATGAACTTGAGTTATTTCAAGTCTTCTCTTAAGAAAAAGATCTATGCCTGGTATTTTGATAAATCTGTACCTGCATAGCTGAAAAATCAATCCTTGAATGTAGTAAATTCACAAACGTAAAACCACCCTGAGCCTGAGCAACTTCTGTTGGTTAAGTAGTATACATTTAATTCCCTTCTAAGCAGATACAGTTATTAACAGTAATGCAAAGAGTTTTCACTTGGAATATATGGCACCTCACTTTTATTATTATTATTATTATACTTTAAGTTCTGGGGTACATGTGCAGAATGTGCAGGTTTGTTTCATAGGTATACATGTGCCATAGTGGTTTGCTGCACCCATCAACCTGTCATCTATATTAGGTATTTCTCCTAATGCTATCCTTCCCCTACCCCCCACTCCCTTACAGGCCCAGATGTATGATGTTCCCCTCCCTGTGTCCATGTGTTCTCATTGTTCAACTCCCACTTATGAGTGAGAACATGCAGTATTTGGTTTTCTGTTCTTGTGAGAATAATGGTTTCCAGCTTCATCCATGTCCCTGCAAAGGACATGAACTCATCCTTTTTTATGGTTGCATAGTATTCCATGGTGTATATGTGCCACATTTTCTTTATCCAGTCTATCAATGATGGGCATTTGGGTTGGTTCCAAGTCTTTGCTATTGTGAATAGTGCTGCAGTCAACATATGTGTGCATGTGTCTTTATAGTAGAATGATTTATAATCCTTTGGGTATATACCCAGTAATGGGATTGCTGGGTCAAATGCTATCTTTAGTTCTAGATTCTTGAGGAATCGCCACACTGTCTTCCACAATGGTTGAACTAATTTATACTACCACCAACAGTGTAAAAGCGTTCCTGTTTCTCCACATCCTCTCCAGCATCTGTTGTTTCCTGACTTTTTAATGATCGCCATTCTAACTGGCATGAGATGGTATCTCATTGTGGTTTTGATTTCCATTTCTCTAATGACCAGTGATGATGAGCTTTTTTCCATATATTTGTTGACTACATAAATGTCTTCTTTTGAGAAGTGTCTGTTCGTATCCTTCGCCCACTTTTTGATGGGGTTTTTTTTTTTTCTTGTAAATTTGTTTAAGTTCTTTGTAGATTCTGGATATTAGCCCTTTGTCAGATGGATAGATTGCAAAAATTTTCTCCCATTCTGTAGGTTGCCTGTTCATTCTGATGATAGTTTCTTTTGCTGTGCAGAAGCTCTTTAGTTTAATTAGATCCCATTTGTCAATTTTTGCTTTTGTTGCCATTGCTTTTAGTGTTTTAGTCATGAAGTCTTTGTCCATGCCTATGTCCTGAATGGTATTGCCTAGGTTTTCTTCTAGGGGCACCTCATTTTTCATTGAGGATCCTGCTTACTTTAGATACATCATCTTCTTTGCTTCAAGGCTTCTGCCAAAAATAAATAGTTTAATGATAAGATATGAGTCATTTCTCACTAGGCTCATACATAGCACCACAGAAGGTATTGGCAAATAGCTAAATAAATAGATACCGTTACCAAGTTTTGAGTCTAATGAAAATTTATCTACCTATTAACTTTGGTCAGTTTAGCTATTTCAAGAACTATGTCTTAGAGTATGTATTTACTGTATAAAACCAAGTAAAAACTTAAAAGATTCTCAGAATAGATGTATTCCATAGATATTTGAACTGCATTATCAACAGTCAGCACTTGGAATGTTCCCTGCCCTCCCCCTATTATCTCTGAAGCCATAATTTTATTTTTATACTCAATCTGTTAGAGTCTGATAAGTGTATGATCTGGCAAATCTTTCATTTCAAATGAAACAAGTCATAGAAATTCTCATATATACTTCAGGTTCTTCAATTTTTTTAAATGTGTAAGGCTATTAGATGCCCTTTATATAGTCATTCAAGAGTTACCACCATTTGCTGAAGAATACACTATTATTTAACTATAGTGGTTCATAGTAAAATACAAGTGATTATAAATTGTTTTATACAAATGGTGATGTAGCACCAATTCTATAAGAAGCACTCTAGTCATCAGCAAACAGGGACAATTTGATTTCCTCTTTTCCTAATTGAATACCCTTTATTTCCTTCTCCTGTCTAATTGCCCTGGCCAGAACTTCCAACACTATGTTGAACAGGAGTGGTGAGAGAGGGCATCCATGTCTTGTGCCAGTTTTCAAAGGGAATGCTTCCAGTTTTTGCCCATTCAGTATGATATTGGCTGTGGGTTTGTCATAGATAGCTCTTATTATTTTGAGATACGTCCCATCAATACCTAATTTATTGAGAGTTTTTAGCATGAAGGGTTGTTGAATTTTGTCAAAGGCCTTTACTGCATCTATTGACATAATCATGTGGTTTTTGTCTTTGGTTCTGTTTAAATGCTGGATTACATTTATTGCTTTGCGTATATTGAACCAGCCTTGCATCCCAGGGATGAAGCCCACTTGATCATGGTGGATAAGCTTTTTGATGTGCTGCTGGATTCAGTTTGCCAGTATTTTATTGAGGATTTTTGCATCAATGTTCATCAAGGATATTGGTCTAAAATTCTCTTTTTTGGTTGTGTCTCTGCCTGGCTTTGGTATCAGGACGATGCTGGCCTCATAAAATGAGTTAGGGAGGATTCCCTCTTTTCTATTGATTGGAATAGTTTCAGAAGGAATGGTACCAGTTCCTCCTTGTACCTCTGGTAGAATTCGGCTGTGAATCCATCTGGTCCTGGACTCTTTTTGGTTGGTAAGCTATTGATTATTGCCACAATTTCAGAGCCTGTTATTGGTCTATTCAGAGATTCAACTTCTTCCTGGTTTAGTCTTGGGAGGGTGTATGTGTCGAGGAATTTATCCATTTCTTTTAGATTTTCTAGTTTATTTGCATATAGTTGTTTGTAGTATTCTCTGATGGTAGTTTGTATTTCTGTGGGATTGGTGGTGATATCCCCTTTATCATTTTTTATTGCGTCTATTTGATTCTTCTCTCTTTTCTTCTTTATTAGTCTTGCTAGCGGTCTATCAATTCTGTTGATCCTTTCAAAAAACCAGCTCATGATTGTATATCTAGAAAACCCCATTGTCTCAGCCCAAAGTCTCCTTAAGCTGATAAGCAACTTCAGCAAAGTCTCAGGATACAAAATCAATGTACAAAAATCACAAGCATTCTTATACACCAATAACAGACAAACAGAGAGCCAAATCATGAGTGAACTCCCATTCACAATTTCTTCAAAGAGAATAAAGTACCTAGGAATCCAACTTACAAGGGATGTGAAGGACCTCTTCAAGGAGAACTACAAAGCACTGCTCAATGAAATAAAAGAGGATACAAACAAATGGAACAACATTCCATGCTCATGGGTAGGAAGAATCAATATCGTGAAAATGGCCATACTGCCCAAGGTAATTTATAGATTCAATGCCATCCCCATCAAGCTACCAATGACTTTCTTCACAGAATTGGAAAAAACTACTTTAAAGTTCATATGGAACCAAAAAAGAGCCCACATTGCCAAGTCAATCCTAAGCCAAAAGAACAAAGCTGGAGGCATCATGCTACCTGACTTCAAACTATACTACAAGGCTACAATAACCAAAACAGCATGGTACTGGTACCAAAACAGAGATATAGATCAATGGAACAGAACAGAGCCCTCAGAAATAACGCTGCATATCTACAACTATCTGATCTTTGACAAACCTGAGAAAAACAAGCAATGGGGAAAGGATTCCATATTTAATAAATGGTGCTGGGAAAACTGGCTAGCCATATGTAGAAAGCTGAAACTGGATCCCTTCCTTACACCTTATACAAAAATTAATTCAAGATGGATTAAAGACTTAAACGTTAGACCTAAAACCATAAAAACCCTAGAAGAAAACCTAGGCAATACCATTCAGGACATAGGCATGGGCAAGGACTTCATATTTAAAACACCAAAAGCAATGGCAACAAAAGCCAAAATTGACAGATGGGATCTAATTAAACTAAAGAGCTTCTGCACAGCAAAAGAAACTACCATCAGAATGAACAGGCAACCTATAAAATGGGAGAAAATTTTCGCAACCTACTAATCTGACAAAGGGCTAATATCCAGAATCTACAATGAACTCCAACAAATTTACAAGAAAAAAAACAAACAACCCCATCAAAAAGTGGGCGAAGGACATGAACAGTCACTTCTCAAAAGAAGACATTTATGCAGCCAAAAAACACATGAAAAAATGCTCACCATCACTGGCCATCAGAGAAATGCAAATCAAAACCACAATGAGATACCACCTCACACCAGTTAGAATGGCGATCATTAAAAAGTCAGGAAGCAACAGGTGCTGGAGAGGATGTGGAGAAATAGGAACACTTTTACACTGTTGGTGGGACTGTAAACTAGTTCAACCATTGTGGAAGTGAGTGTGGCGATTCCTCAGGGATCTAGAACTAGAATTACCATTTGACCCAGCAATCCCATCACTGGGTATATACCCAAAGGACTACAAATCATACTGCTATAAAGACACATGCACACGTATGTTTATTGCAGCACTATTCACAGTAGCAAAGACTTGGAACCAACCCAAATGTCCAACAATGATAGACTGGAATAAGAAAATGTGGCACATATACACCATGGAATACTATGCAGCCATAAAAAATGATGAGTTCATGTCCTTTGTAGGGACATGGATGAAATTGGAAATCATCATTCTCAGTAAACTATCACAAGGACAAAAAACCAAACACCACATGTTCTCACTCATAGGTAGGAATTGAACAATGAGAACACATGGACACAGGAAGAGGAACATCACACTCTGGGGACTGTTGTGGGGTGGGGGAAGGGGGGAGGGATAGCATTCGGAGATATACCTAATGCTAAATGATGAGTTAATGGGTACAGCACACCAGCATGGCACATGTATACATATGTAACTAACCTGCACATTGTGCACATGTACCCTAAAACTTAAAGTGTAAAAATAATAAAATAAATTAATTTAAAAAAGACTCCAACTCCAAAAAAAAATAAGTATATTCAAAAGAATCATATTAAATTTGTAATTACAGTTTAAATGGAAGGGAATTTAATGAAATTTGTAATCAATCTTTGAATATTAAAAAAGTTTCAAAAAAAAAGCACTCTAGTAAGAAGAAAGTTTTTGTACAATCCTATACCAAGAAAATGTTTCCCAATACTTTTATTGACAAGAGTTTTGAGTTCTGTTGCACAGATTTTATTTATTCTATTCATTCATTAACAAATATTTGTTGAATATTTATATACTGGCCATATACCAGGACCCTGAAATGGGAATTAACCAAGCTCTAATGGATCAGAGAACACTTCCCAGCATAGTAATTTCTAAGCTAAAATTTTAAAAATGACTTCTGTCTCCACTTCCCTCATATCCAATACATAGTGAAATCTATCTTCAATATATATTCAGAATCTGATATATATTGCTGTGAACTCTTATCAACTCTTGCTGTCACCACTGTCCAAGCTATTATGTTTTGCCTGATTTCTACAAGAGCCTCCTAACTGGTATCCTTACTTTTACTCTTACACTTCAAAGTCTACATGGCTCCTTATGTTTGCTTCTTTCTTTCACAAGCTACGTATGTAGGCATGCTTATGTCACTTAAAATATTCTTACGCATCTGTTTCACTTATATTATAGACCAAGAAAAAAATGCCGTGTCTGGCAGCTAACTGACTTAAGTGAAGTTTAGTAGAACAGTTTCTCTGTAGTTATAAATTTACCTGTAGAAATTCTTTTGGAGTTGTCATTTCAGTTTTAGAAACTTGCAACAAAAATGACAGATCAGTAGTGGCACTTACAGAAAAACCTAAACTATACACTTCAAACTCTAAAAGCTATTTCCAATAGTACTGAAAATAACAATGGTTACCCATTGTAGTATCTGCGGAATGAACTAATTTTCACCTTATGTTTTTTAATAAATAGTTTGCCAAAATATTTGGCAGAATTATTCAGCAAGGACCAGAAAATCTTTGCCCTTCTTTTTAGTTTTTCCAAATTTCCCTGCTCAAAGAATCATTACTATTTGCCTTTTTTCTAATTTGGGATGCGGGAAAACTAATGGAACGCTGAATTTTGTATATGAAGTGATGGGAAAGAAAAGATTTTTGTACCCTGCACTGAAATCCCATCTTACTGGCTTCTTCTTATTGCTACCTACCGGAGAGAGGCATAATATTCCATGTCCTTGAAAGAGTTATTCTGCGAATCGAATGCTACAGTAACTCAGAGAATTGAGTTTCGTCTACGGCCATACCACCCTGAACGCTCCCGATCTCGTCTGATCTCGGAAGCTAAGGAGGGTCGGGCCTGGTTAGTACTTGGATGGGAGAGAATTGAGTTTCATCTTTCCACATTAAAAAATGAAGTTAAAGCATCTGTAAAGCAAAACCCAAAGTGATTATTCATTTCTTTCCTTGTTTAAGAAACATGCAGTTACTACTGCTGCACTCCTCTCCTAATGATCCTGATGCCAGGAATTGCAGATTCAGATTTACCACACAGAGTCTTGACCCACAGCTATACCCCAAAGAGCAACCACATCCAAGACACAGAAGTGAAGCCAAAAATAATGAAAGCTTCTGTATCTGAAAAGATTCTTATTTAAGATCTCAGGTGAGCCTATAGAATTGTGGACTCAGGCAATCAAACATCAGTCAGACATTCAGTTTCTTTTCATTTGCCTTGTATTTCTTGAAGTCCTACCAAGAAGTGCTCCAACGGAGAGCAAACAGAGATGACTGCTTAAACAGCACCTTTGCGCCACAGGAAAATTTCCTTTAGGTAAACAGTGTTTCAATTCCTATGTAGATTTCACTGTATGTGGATGTGTATTAGGGCTAAAATCAAAAAGCAAATTAATGATTACACATATTTCTGGAAGCAGAGACAAATTACTAAGTCTTATTTGTATTTACTTTAGTTAAACAGTTTAAATGTTTGATGTGAATGTGATACATAGCTACTCTGTATCTATAGGGTCCTTTAATTGCAAGCAATAGAAACTGAATCAGACTAACTTTAGGAAAAGGGAATTTGTTGAAAGGTTATCAGAGGCATGATAGGAAGCTGTATACCAGACTTGGTAATGGGTAAAGAAGCAAGACATCTTTGGAAACTCAGAGGCAGCAGCAGCCTTAACAGTGCTCTCATAATGAAAAATAAACTGGCCAGGGCACCATTACTAGGAATGAACAAAACTAACCATTCCTGCATCTTTGTTTCTCCACTGACTATGTAAATTCCAAGGAGGAAGCATCTAATTGAACTAGTTTGGGTCACATGCTTGCCTCTTTGCTAGTGAAAGGCAGGATTCCTAGTTACAGTCCAGTGAGTAAGAATTAATTCCCCAATGGAATTCAAATTGTCATTAGGAAGGAGAAATAAATGCTGGAAGCTAAAAAGCAACAAATGTTTAACACAGCCACTATTTATTCATTGTGTATGGTTTACCAGTCACTGTGATTCATGTGCATTATCTCATTTAATGCTTATAACAGGGCTAGTAGTTCAGATCCTGTTATAATCCTCATTTTACAGGTAAGAAAACTAAAGCTTTGAGAAAGGTTAGATAGCTTGTGCAAGGTCACACCACTAGAAAGTGGCAGAATCAGAACTTCAGAGAGAACACTCATAAAAGCCATACTTCTCTTGACAGAGCTGTGTATTAGCATTGATGATAATATTTACTGAATCTGTCCTTCAGGGGTAAAAAAAAAAAAAGACAAAACCAAAACGATAAAAAACATGGTATGTAGATAGATCAAATCTACCAGTAGTCACATAAAACGTAGACATTCTTTATGGGAATCAAGCTTTGGGAATAAAAGTTGTGTAAATGCAGAATTCATATATGTGCAGATAATTTTTCTCTGATGCAAATTCATGATTTAATTTCTTAATACAGTGAATGATTTGAATATCTTAGTGAAGCACAGTCTTGAGCCTGCAAATCAAGCTTTATAAATAGGCTTGTATGTTTCTTGGTTTATAGAGAAGAGATTAAGGGGGTAAAAAACTTCCAGTGTTCTCCAGTTACATAGTTATTGCCATCTGGAGATGCTAAACAATCTTAGTAATCCCAAGAATGAAATGAGATAATGAGCATAATGTGGCTGCTAACCTCTAAACCACACTTTTGTAACCTTGGCATAATTGACATTTTGGACCAGATAATTCTTTGTTGTGGGGGCTCTACAGTCACTGTCCCATCTGTAGCAGCATTTGGTGGCCACCACCCAATAGATGCCAGTAGTAGCCACCCCCTAGTTGTTACAATCAAAACAGCTGACTTCAAAATCACTGCCAGTTTTCTCAATGACATTCTTCTAATCACTAAAGTAAGTATTCTGTTATAAAGATATTTGTCCAAGGGATTTATACAAACTATTCTGAATATTTGTCAGTTGTCTTTTCTTCCTTTCCTCCCTACCCTTGCCATTTTTCTAAATTCATCTTTGGAGAAAACACTGTTTACCATTGAACAGGATGTTCTTCCTAATTCCTTCCAGCTCTAGGAGTTAATGTCTTTTACTGTGCTGTATCCAGATTTAATAATCAGCTGATACTAGGTACTAGTACAGTCTTACCAGTTTGCCTTAGGTCAGATGCCTTCAAAAAGGGCTCTGTGATAGAGATTCATGTGCAAAAAATTCATTAGGGAATGCCCTGAAGTTCAGCACCTATCGGGGTGGAGGAAGTGTAGGATCAGGCAAAATATAGTTGCACAAGGGCTTCAGCTGATCCCTTAAGGAGCTCTGGAGCTGGGATGGCCCTTCAGGGTTGAATCACCTTGGGGAAAGGGGACTGATCTTTTGTACCCATACACTGACCGTTGATTGGTTGGGGGAGGCTCTCAGGAAGAGGGCGTGACCTTGGCCAAGGTAGCAGTTGTTGGAGAGGGACTCAACTGAGTACCACAAACCACTACTTCCAGCAGCTGGAGAAATTAGTACATTAGTCCTGAAGGCAGGCTCTGAGTAGTGCGCCACAGGCCATGTTTTGTACACTCAGATCCACTTCCTCTATATAATAAGTTCTTGTAACAGCTCCTCTATGATCCTGTTAG
Organism: Homo sapiens; assembly: GCF_000001405.40. Lineage (NCBI taxonomy): Eukaryota > Metazoa > Chordata > Mammalia > Primates > Hominidae > Homo > Homo sapiens. Next base: position 28,508,219 of record NC_000012.12, read on the forward strand.
TTTCTCTGGTCTTTTCTGGGGAGACTTAAAAGAGAAAAGTTAGTGGGAAAAGCTGTAACTCCTGCTACAGCTGTTCTCAGGAGCCAACTGATTCTCATCTCCCTTCTCTGTTCTTTTTTCTGGACTCCTCTTATGCTTGGTTGAACTCTTGTTCTAGGGGTTTACCTGATGGGATAGCACAGACCTGTATCCATGGGACCTATAAGGCCCTGGGTGCTGTATTATGGCTATGACTGCTGTGCTTGTCTATTTACAGTCAAAATTAGGCAAGGGAGTTCCAAGAGATACCCTACTGGATCACTTGGATGCCAATCATAATTTTACTTTATCCGATTGTGTAACAGCCCTACCTCCTTTTATTGATCAGGATCAATTACCTTTGCTTTATTTCCCTGTATAGCGTTCTTGACATGTGGAGCCTGAAGTGACCAGGTGACAGTAGTAGCTAAAAGTGTAATGAAACTCATTCTACTGTTTCCTCTCGTGGAAGCATTCCCCCTCCAAGAGTCAGTACCTCTAAAGCCCAGAGTTTGCAAGGGTGAGAAGCACATATTATCTGAGTCAGTTATTAAGAATGGCGATAAGTAAGTAGGGCCACTCTTATTTCTACCCCTCGGTTCCTGAACCCATAAATTGTACTTCTGGGAAACATAGGAAACATAGCTCTATTTAATGGTTATTGATATACAGTGTATTCTGTGACCTAGAGAGTGGATTACAGGATATGATCTCCAAGGTGAAGTCTTAGCTCTGCCTTCAATAGGCCATTCCATCATTCTGTTAGGCCAGTAACTTCTAGTTGTATAGTCTGTGATAAGACTTCTATCTGCCATAGCAGTTATGGCATTTCTATTTCACGTAATGTGGACTGCTTTCTGTATGCTTCCAGGAACCACCGTAGTTGTGTCTTAGCATCCTCTCATGTAGTCTTTCTGGGGTGCTAAATCCTGTGAGAGAATGTTCCCATATCAATAATCTCTCCATTATGCAAACACAGGTTCTGTCTCCTCTTGATCTAGCACTCTCTCATACGTAGTCTCCTGCCTCCTGTGGATACATGTTGGCTAGGTCCTACAGTTCATTTGATATATACTGCCTTTCTAAGCTGGATTATGATGCAACTTGATTCATGGCATTGGTCTGGGATCCAAATGAGGAGGTGCAAGGTAGATCTTGGTGGCAGGATAGGGGTGGTAGTAGTGGAATTGCATGTGTCATCATGAAAGACTGAGTATTATTTATTATGTTTAAACAAAAGGGAAATGCTAGTCTCTAGGTAGGAGTATAATACACATCAACAGTTTAATAGAGCTTATTTCTGGATGAAAACATGAGTGACTTAAAGGGTTTTATTTATATCATTTTTTAAAGTTATCTTTAAAAATAATTCTCTGTAATCATTGTATAATTAAATATACATTGTATTTAAAGAGCCATATATAGGCTGCACACTGTATTAAAAGATATGTGTGATAGCCAGCTAGGTACTATTCGAATGAAAATATTTGTATTGCTCTTCAGCGCTGATGATTATGGGAACAAGAGAGTGGGGAGAAGAAGGAAACATAAAATTTCTATTTATTACAAGTGGGTATTAATATAGTAGACTCATGTGTAAAGACTATTTCTAGTCCAAAATGTTTGGTAAGGGAATATTATTTTCCCATAGATATGAAATCCATATCTCTTGATCCAAGAACTCACCTCCTATTTCTGAACTGGTAATAGTTTTGCATGCTCTAGTAATGCATCAGTTATCATCCTTGAACTCTTCTTTCTTGAGAGTATGATTATCAGGCAAGTAGGGGTACCCATGTAGAAGGGAGTAGAGACACCAAGGGCTGAATCTTGAAATTGCAAAGGATGGAGAAGCTGGTTTTTGATAATAAATTGAAATAAAAGAGTTTCCCTGAAAGTCTTTCATGCTTCTTACCTAACATGAAATTATTTTCAAATAATTAGACTTTGAAAAATAGTTGGTATATTAGGATTCTCCAGAGAGACAGAGTCAATAGGGCATGTGTGTGTGTGTGTGTGTGTAGAAAGAGATTTATCATAAAGGACTGGCTGTCATGATTCTGGAGGCTGAGAAGTCCTAAGATCTGTAGTCAATAAGCTGGAAACCCAGGAGAGCTGATAAGTGGTTCCAAAGGCCTGAGAAGCAGGAGAACTGATGGTGTAAATTCCAGACTAAAAGCTGGAAGATTGAAATCAAATAAGGGCTTATGTTTTAGTTTCATTCCTAAGACCAGAAAAGATCAGTGTCAGACAGGAGTTCCTTCGTACTCAGTCTTTTTGTTTTAGTCAGGTCTTCAATCAATTAGATGAGGCCACCACATTAGGGCAGGCAGTCTGCTTTACTCAGTCTACTGATGTAAATGTTAATCTCATTTATAAACACCCTTACAGACACGCCCAGAATAATCTTTAGCCAAATATCAGTATCTCAGTTTAGTAGATACATAAAATTAACCACCGCAGATAATGATTTTTTGCATAAATTCATTTATCATGTATTTATTGAACCTCTGTCTTGTATTTAATCTTTTGAATAATATAAAGAGCTATGAGATAATTTTTTTAGCTGGAGGAACATAACATCCAAATTCCTCTCTTAAGAATAGTTTTGGACATGGGCTGGGAAGAAAGTCTTAGCATGTTCAAAACAGAATTCTTGATTTCCACCACCCATCACCTGCCACATTTGCTCCTTCACAAGACTTTCTTTTCTCAATAAATGGCACCAGCTGCACAAACCAAAATCCTAGAAGTTATCCTTTCTTCAAAGCTCACATAAAGTCTTCTGAAAAGGTCGACATGTGTACTTCATAATAATTCTAAGTTCATCAGCTTACCACCTTTCTTCACTGTATCCCCTGTAGCCCAAGTCACTATGAACTTTCACCAGGTCAAATCTGTCTTCAGAATATCTCTCAACTATGTCACTTATCACCATCTCCACTACTGTGTCACAAGACCAAGCTACCATTATCTTTACTAGGACTACTCGCTTTCACTCTTTCACCCACTCCCACCCTACTACAGTACATTTTCCATACAGCAGCTAAATTCCCAGAGCATAAATCAGATCACGGCATTCCCATACATGAAATCTTCCAAAGGTTTTCCAAATGTCACCTCTTCAGAAAAGCCATTTATGGCCAATTTAGGCCAAAATAACTGCATATTATCCTCCCTGCACCTGGCATGTTGTACCACCAATGCATTATTTTTTTTCCTAGCACTTATCAGTAACTGTAATTATCCTATTTACTATTTCAAATGGTGGTCGTCTGTTTTCCCCTCAAGAAGAATGAGGGGCCTTAAAAGAGCCATGTGGTTCCAGTATAAGCAAAGGTGCTGGATAGTTTGTAGGCACTCATTAAATATTTGCCGATTGAATGAGAATGGAGGTCACAGCAAGGATTCCTCTTGCCAAAATACTTGTTCTTTTCAGCAGAGTCTGAGGAAAAGCTGTACTTGTTTTGTACTTTGTTTTATGAAGGAGCTTCTGCACTGTGTCTGCGCACTCATATGTCAATTTTGTGTTGGAAAAAAAATGATGTGGTCCTTTGCTGTCATTTTATGCGGCTGGCAGGCTTCTGTTTCCACCATAACCGGGAGCTTTGCTTGTTGCTGGCAGATGAGCATGATTATCAGCCATGAGAAAATAATAAAAGGCTCTCAGTTCTAGGATACTCTAGGACTTTTCATGTTTTCAATGAAGTAAATTAACTCTGTTCTTTCATTTTATGGAAATGGCTCTGAATCTCATTAAAAACACACATGTATATGACTAGATGGATTTTGGGACTTACCATCTTGTGTTCATCTTATTTTTAAAAAATCTCATTTTTAAAATTCCAACCACTTTTGCCTACTCGGAACACTCATATTTGGGTTTCTATGGTGCATTCCTCTGCGAATAGGTTCTTTTTTCCAGTGTATTTTCCTACCTTGTGTACAAATGTCTTTTTTGTATTTGCAAGGGAAAAAGTACCATGCCAAGCACCAAAGTTTAAGCTTCTCCATCAATATTACTTTTTCATCAGTTTTTTTTCCCCTTTTCCCAAGGGAAAAACACCTTAAATCAGCATGAAGAATATTCTCTGTAGCTCATGTGGAGTCTGATTTAGGACAGAAATAAGTGCATTCCAATTTTCCTGTTTTCTATATTTTCTTTTTCAATGCCATTGACTCTTTCAAGCAAGACATATTTACTAAGGCCAGCTATCTATCTAGCACAGTAAGACGTATTGTGGGATAAAGCAGGGGTCAGCAAAACATGGCGAATGGGCCAAATCCAGTTTGCCCGGTGTTTTCTTAAATAAAGTTCTGTTGAAACACAGCTTCACCCATTTATTTACGTATTATTTATGGCTGCTTTTACATGCAACAACAGCAGAGTTGAGTAGTTGTGATGGTGACCATATGGCCTACTAAGCCTGAAATATGTTCTCTCTCTTCCTCTACAAAAGTTTGCCAGCCCCTGGTGTATAAAGCATGACCTCCATTCCGATAGGGTTTATGAACTAATTGGGTTGCTTGTTAAAACACGAAGCAATTACTGAATCAATAAATGCCAAGTTGTATGGTACGGAAGGGATTCGATGCCACAGAATGGTCATTGGTTAGGAAATAAATCTCATTTATAGAGAACTGATTAGTTAAGTATGTCAAAATGCAGAAAAGGTCCTTATATTATATGGCCTTTCCTCCCTCATGCTGTACTTCTTTAAGTCTCAGCTATGCTGTAAAATTAAAAGATATTCAAAACTGTTAGCAAAGCTTTTCCTAGATGTAAATCTTCCAGGACTCCCTCAAAGGTATGCTTGGCAGAAACAGGACAGGATTAAGATTGCTAAATTGTTCAGAACCCTGCCTGGCAAGTCATAGATCCTCAGCTATTGCTTGAATAAACAAAAGAACATGCAAACTATAAAAGAAGGGAAATCCGATGCAGCTACATCATAATAATAGCTAATGTTATTGAGTATTCATAATATTGCTGGTATTTCTCAGCAGGAAATATCCTGATTCTTTAAAGAGTAAGTGGTAGTGGGCATGTAAACTGCTTAGCTCAATGCCTAACACATGGCACATTATAAGTGTTCAATAAAAGTTTTTACTGTCATTTTTTTAGAGGGAATTGTATACAAGTTGAGAATCCCCAATCTGAAAATTTGAAGTCCAGAATGCTTTAAGTAAAAACTTTTTGAGCACTGACATATGTTGCTCAAAGAGAATCCTCATGGGGATATTTTGCATTTAGGATTTTTGGATTTGGGATCCTCAGCTGGTAGTTATAATGCAAATATTCCAAAATCAAAAAAATCCAAAATTCGAAACACTTCTGGTCCCAAGAGGGATACTCAACCTGTGTTCTCTTTCAGAGAGAGTGCTAATTGTACTCATATGCATGAAAGTAAGAAAAGCAGATAAACTGACCCTTAATTGTATCACTCTCTTGATTAAGCATTAAGAAAACATTTGTATTTGATTTTCTAATCCTGTATTAGTTTGTTAAAGATAATGGCTTCCAGCTCCATTCATGTTCCTCCAAAGAGCATGATCGTGTTCTTCTTATGTCTACATAGTATTCCAGGGTGTATATGTACCACATTTTCTTTATCCAGTCTGTTATTGATGGGCATTTAGGTTGACTCCATGTCTTTGCTATTGTGAATAGCACAGCAGTGGACATATGCATGCATGTGTCTTTATGATAGAATGATTCATTTTCCTTTGAGTGTATACCTAGCAATGGGATTTCTGGGTTAAATGGTAATTCTGTTTTTAGCTCTTTGAGGAATTGCCCACTTCTTTCCACAATGGTTGAACTAACTTACACTGCCATCAGCAGTGTATAAGCATTCCCTTTTCTCCTCAACCTTGCCAGCATCTGTAATTTTTTGACTTTTAAATAATAGCTATTATGACTGGTGTGAGACAGTATCTCATTGTGGTTTTGATTTGCATTTCTCTAATGATCAGTAATACTGGGCTTTTCTTCATACGTCTGTTGGCCACATGTATGTCTTCTTTTGAAAAGTGTCTGTTAATGTTCTTTGCACATTTTTTAATGGAGTTGTTTTTCTCTTGTAAATTTGTTTAAATTTCTTATGGATGCTAGATATTAGACCTTTGTCAGATGCATAGTTTGTGAAAATTTTCTTCCATTCTGTAGGTTGTCTGTTTACTGGTAGTTTCTTTTGCTGTGCAGAACCTCTTTAGTTTTTTTTTTTGTTTGTTTTTTGTTTTGTTTTAGTTTAATTTAATCCCATTTGTCAATTTTTGCTTTGGTTGTAATTGCTTTTGGTGACTTCGTCATGAAATCTTTGTCCATTCGTATGTCCAGAATGGTATTGCCTAGGTTATCTTCCAGGGTTTTTAAAGTTTTGAGTTTTACATTTAAGTCTTTAATGCATCTTGAGTTGATTTTTGTATATGGCATAAGGAAGGGGTCCAGTTTCAGTCTTCTCCATATGACTAGCCAGTTATCCTAGCACCATTTATCAAATAGGGAGTTCTTTCCCCATTGCTTGTTTTTGTCAGCTTTGCCAAAGATCAGATGGTTGTAGGTGTGAGGCTTTATTTCTGGGCTCTCTATTCTGTTTCTTTGGAACAACAGATGCTGTGACCTACTAGAGGGTAGAGGGTGGGAAGAGGGAGAGGATCAGGAAAAATGACTAATGGATACTAGGTTTAATACCTGGGTGATGAAATACTCTGTACAACAAACCCCCATGACAAAAGTTGACCTATGTAACAAATATGCACATAGACCCCTCAACTTTTTTAAAAAAAGAAAGTGGTGAAAATGGAGGGTCTAATTTACAGTCTGTAGATAGGTCAAATACTCTACCCAAACTCCTTTCTTCCCCACCCCCAAGAAAAAAAGAAATCATTTGTGTTTTTTTTCCCCCAACTGTACCACCAGTACTCCAGATCTCAAAACCAGTGGTTTCTAAGATTGCTGTTTTCTTATTTCTTATGGGGGACTTCGGCAGGGAAAAATTTTTGAAAGGCTAAAAATGACTGGAGAAGAGGACTTTTTTCCCCATTAGCTAAAGCTTTCATTTTGTTGAGGTACCTCCTATTATTGGTTTTGTGAAATGTGACCTTCTCCCTGTTTCACATATCCATGTATTCTCCCTTGGATCTTGTAAAATGGCCTCAAGAGAATAGATTGGGATTTCTAGAATATTTTAATAATGTAGCCCTGTTGGTATTTCCCTAATTGATCTTATGCCCTTTTTGCTAACTCTTTAGTTAACTCTTTAATTCAATGTAGACTATTTGTAAAATAAATTCAGTGGATTTAAACTTAAGAAAAGAAAACATTCTTGTTTAGAAAATACATAGGAGAGTGATAAGTGATAATCTTAAACAAGCTGTTGTTTCATAAATGCAGAATCATTCTTTTTATTTAGTAATGCTGATTATCAATAATAACCCATTAATATGTTTTAACTATCAACAAAAATTATAATATCTGAGGCTGCATCTACTCAGAAGCTTACTTTTATAAAAACTCAGTTTCGTTTAACATAGATTCTATGTTATTTTTTTCCTCAATGAATTTTCATGAAGGAAGCACACCTGTGTAACAAGGACCCAGGCCAAGAAGCAGAATATTACCAACATCCCGGACCCTCACCTCCCCATCCACTCCTTCCAGTCACTACTATCCCCTCAAAGGGAACTACTTTCTTGCCATAAAGAACATATATTACAAAGACTAATTGAAAGGGGTTAGTTAGTATGTCCTTTTAATAAGTTCACAGAAGTATTACAAGAGCAATCTGGCATTTTAAGAAGAGAATAGTCTTCTGACATTGAAGCATTTCATGCTAAACATGTCAAAATGTTTTCTACATCATCAGTAATGTGCTCAGACAAGTTTAATATAAAAGCCTTCAAGAGCAGACAGTTATTTTCCTCTTCTTGAAGAGTGAGGCAGACTTTACCTGAAAAAGTTAATGATTTTAAAAAAAATCAATCTGTTGGGGTTTCATTAGGATACTGTCTTGGTCTGTTTTGTGCTGCTATATCAGAATACCTAAGACTGAGTAATTTGTAATGAACAGAAATTTATTTTCTAGGCTGAGTGTAATAGCTCATGCCTAATCCCAGCACTTTGGGAGGCTGAGGTGGGCAGATTGCTTGAGCCCAGGAATTCAAGACTAGCCTGGTCAACATGGCAAAACCACATCTCTACAAAAAATACAAACATTAGTTGGGCATAGTGGCATGCATTTGCAGTCCCAGCTACTCGATAGGCTGAGGTAGAAAGATTGCTTGAGCCCTGAGAGTCAGAGGTTTCAGTGAGCCAAGATTGTGCCACTGTACTCCAGCCTGGGTGACAGAATGAGACCCTGTCTTAAAAAAGAAAGAAAGAAAAAGAAATTTATTTTCTCACAGTCTCACAGTTCTATTGGTGAGGAAGTTCAGGTCAAGGTGCTGGCATTTGGTGAAGGCCTTCTTGCTGCATCCTCCCATGGCAGAAGATGAGAGGGCAAGAAATAGAGAAGGGGGCTGAACTCATTCTTTTATAAGGAACCCCCCTGACATGTCAACCCTACTACCTCAGTAATGACATTAGTTATCCCTTCACAAGGGCAGAGCCCTCATGATAATCACCTCTTAAAGTTCTCACCTCTAAATACTCTTACAATGGCAGTTAGATTTCAACTTGACTTTTGGAGGGGATATTCAAACCACAGCAGATGCCCACTAGTCAGTCATGCAAACTAGCCAGAAATAGAGATGTGAAAAGTAAATTTGAGTGAATCTTTGTTGTGTCAATACCCTATACATTCAGTAATTTTATGTTTTTATATTTCACTAATGTCTGTAATCAAATTCATATCTCTCCTTCTCCTGTGCTCCAAAGGCTGTGCTAATCTATTTCCTCATCCTAGTTTTTCTTTGTTTTACTTCATGTTATATGCTTTTAAATTACTTAAACAAAAAAGGATGTCATTATAATTGTTTTTCCCAAATGTTTAGTTTGGCATCTGTTGCAAGGCCTTAGTTATAGGCTGAAGTGCCAAAAGCTTGAACTGAAAACAAGAATGTGGTGGGCAAGCCTGAGATCTGAATTCAGAAGTGGTGTTTATATTTTCCCAAGGGCCTTATTAGTGAGAGTCCAAGCCCTAAATGTTAACTTGCAACACGTTTGAACAGACTGACTTTTCTGTTTTGTTAAGTATAATGGCATATCATTCTGTATGGGTACTTCTGTAAACAATCTTCTCTTTTAACTGCCCTTTAAGCTACTAAACAATGTTGTCAAATTTGAGGCTGTGTTTTTGTTCAATATTCCATGGCACATATTCACACAATAGAGTTTTATTTGTTTTTATTTTATTCATTTCCATAGATTATTGGGGAGCAGGTGGTATTTGGTTACATGAGTAAGTTCTTCAGTGGTGATTTGTGAGATTTGGGTGATATTTGGTTTCATGCTTAACTCCTTTAGTGGTGATTTGTGAGATTTTGGTGCACCCATCACCCAAGCAGTATACACTGCACCCAATTTGTAGTCTTTTATTCCTCACCTCCTTCCCACCCTTTCCCCCTGAGTCCCGAAAGTCCACTGTGTCATTTTTATGCCCTCACATCCTCACAGCTTAGCTCCCACTTATGAGTGACAACATATGATATTTGGTTTTCCATTCCTGAGTTACTTCACTTAGAATAATAGTCTCTGGTCCGATTCAGATTGCTGTGAATGCCATTAATTTATTCATTTTTATGGCTGAGTAGTATTCTATCGTGTATGTAGACCACGGTTTCTTTATCTACTCATTGATTGATGGGTTCCTGATGGCTTCCACCTTTTTGCAATTGTGAATTGTGCTGCTATAAACATGTGTGTGCAAGTATCTTTTCATATGATGACTTATTTTTCTCTGGGTAGATACCCAGTAGTGGGATTGCTGGATCAAATGGTAGTTGTACTTTTAGTTCTTTAAGGAATCTCCACACTGTTTTCCATAGTGGTTGTACTAGTTTACATTCTCACTAGCAGTGTAGAAGTGTTCTCTGTTCACCACATCCATGCAGACATCTATTTTTTTTTAAATTTCTTATGGCCATTGTTGCAGTAGTAAAGTGGTATTGCATTGTGATTTTGATTTGCATTTCCCTGATCATTAGTGATGTTGAGCATTTTTTCATATGTTTGTTGGCCATTTGTTTATGTTCTTTTGATAATTGTGTATTCATTCTTTTGATAATTGTGTAAAGTCCTTAGCCCACTTTTTGATGGGATTCTTTGTTTTTTTCTTACTAATTTTTTTGAGTTGGTGGTACATTCTGGATATTAGTCCTTTGTCAGATGTATAGATTGTGAAGATTTTCTCCCACTCTGTGGGTTGTCTGTTTATTTTGCTGACTGTTTCTTTTGCTGTGCAAAAGCTCTTTAGTTTAATTAAGTCCCAGTTATTTATCTTTGTTTTTATTGCATTTGTTTTTGGGTTCTTGGTCATGAAATCCTTGCTTAAGCTAATGTCTAGAAGGCTTTTTCCAATGTTATCTTCTAGAATTTTTATAGTTTCAGGTCTTAGGTTTAAGTCCTTGATCCATCTTGAGTTGATATTTGTATAAGGTGAGAGATAAGGATCCAGTTTCATTCTCCTATGTGTAGCTTGCCAATTATCCCAGCACCATTTGTTGAATAGGGCGTCTTTTCCCCACTTCATATTTTTGTTTGCTTTGTCGAAGATCAGTTGGCTATAAGTATTTGGATTTATTTCTGGGCTCTCTATTTTGTTTTTGCTTAGTCTTGCTTTGGCTATACAGGCTCTTTTTTGGTTCCATATGAATTTGGGGATAGTTTTTTTTCTAATTCTGTGAAGAATGTTGGTGGTATTTTGATAGGAATTGCATTGAATTTGTAGATTGCTTTTGGCAGTATGATCATTTTCACAATATTGATTCTGTCCATCCATGCGCATGGAATGTATTTCCATTTGTTTGTGTAGTCTATGATTTCTTTCAACAGTGTTTTCTAGTTTTCCTTGCAGAGGTCTTTCACCTCCTTAGTTAGGTATATTGCTAAGTTGTTTGTTTGTTTTGTTTTGTTTTGTTTTGTTTGCAGCTATTATAAAAGGGGTTGAGTACGTGATTTGATTCTCAGCTTGGTCACTTGGTGTACAGAAGAGCTACTGGTTTGTGTATGTTAATTTTGGATCTGGAAACTGTTGACTTTTGTCAGTTCTAGAAGCTGTCTGGAGGAGTCTTTAGGGTTTTCTAGGTAAACAGGTCATCAGCAAACAGTGACAGTGTAACTTCCTCTTTACCAATTTGGATGCTCTTTGTATCTTTCTCTTTTCTTTTTTTTTTCTTTTTTTTATTATTATACTTCAAGTTCTAGGGTACACGTGCACAACGTGCAGGTTTGTTACATATGTATACATGTGCCATGTTGGTGTGCTGCACCCATTAACTCATCATTTACATTAGGTATATCTCCTAATGCTATCCCTCCCCCCTCCCCCCACCCCACAACAGGCCCCGGTGTGTGATGTTCCCCTTCCTGTGTCCAAGTGTTCTCATTGTTCAAATCCCACCTATGAGTGAGAACATGTGGTGTTTGGTTTTCTGTCCTTGCGATAGTTTGCTGAGAATGATGGATACCAGCTTCATCCATGTCCCAACAAAGGACATGAACTCTTCCTTTTTTATGGCTGCATAGTATTCCATGGTGTATATGATGTGCCACATTTTCTTAATCCAGTCTATCATTGATGGGCATTTGGGTTGGTTCCAAGTCTTTCCTATTGTGAATAGTGCCGCAATAAACATACCTGTGCATGTGTCTTTATAGCAGCATGATTTATAATCCTTTGGGTATATGCCCAGTAATGGGATGGCTGGGTCAAATGGTATTTAGTTCTAGATCCTTGAGGAATCGCCACACTGACTTCCACTATGGTTGAACTAGTTTACAGTCCCACCAACAGTGTAAAAGTTTTCCTGTTTCTCCACATCCTCTCCAGCACCTGTTGTTTCCTGACTTTTTAATGATTGCCATTCTAACTGGTGTGAGATGGTGTCTCATTGTGGTTTTGATTTGCATTTTTCTGATGGCCAGTGATGATGAGAATTTTTTCATGTGCCTGTTGGCTGCATAAATGTCTTCTTTTGAGAAGTGTCCGTTCTTACCTTTTGCCCACTTTTTGATGGGGATGTTTGATTTTTTCTTGTAAATTTGTTTAAGTTCTTTGTAGATTCTGGATATTAGCCCTTTGTCAGATGGGTAGATTGCAAAAATTTTCTCCCATTCTGTAGGTTGCCTGTTCACTCTGATGGTAGTTTCTTTTGCTGTGCAGAAGCTCTTTAGTTTAATTAGATCCCATTTGTCAATTTTGGCTTTTGTTGCCATTGCTTTCGGTGTTTTAGACATGAAGTCCTTGCCCATGCCTATGTCCTGAATGCTATTGTCTAGATTTTCTTCTAGGGTTTTTATGGTTTTAGGTCTAACATTTAAGTCTTTAATCTATCTTGAATTAATTTTTGTATAAGGTGTAAGGAAGGGATCCAGTTTCAGCTTTCTACATATGGCTAGCCAGTTTTCCCAGCACCATTCATTAAATAGGGAATCGTTTCCCCATTTCTTGTTTTTGTCAGGTTTGTCAAAGATCAGATGGTTGTAGATGTGTGGTATTATTTCTGAGTGCTCTGTTCTGTTGCATTGGTCTATATCTCTGTTTTGGTACCAGTACCATGCTGTTTTGGTTACTGTAGCCTTGTAGTATAGTTTGAAGTCAGGTAGCATGATGCCTCCAGCTTTGTTCTTTTGGCTTAGGATTGACTTGGCAATGCGGGCTCTTTTTGGGTTCCATATGAACTTTAAAGTAGTTTTTTCCAATTCTGTGAAGAAAGTCATTGGTAGCTTGATCGCGATGGCATTGAATCTATAAATTACCTTGGGCAGTATGGCCATTTTCACGATATTGATTATTCCTATCCATGAGCATGGAATGTTCTTCCATTTGTTTGTGTCCTCTTTCATTTCATTGAGCAGTGGTTTGTAGTTCTCCTTGAAGAGGTCCTTCACATCCCTTGTAAGTTGGATTCCTAGGTATTTTATTCTCTTTGAAGCAATTGTGAATGGGAGTTCACTCATGATTTGGCTCTCTGTTTGTCTGTTATTGGTGTATAAGAATGCTTGTGATTTTTGCACATTGATTCTGTATCCTGAGACTTTGCTGAATTTGCTTATGAGCTTAAGGAGATTTGGGGCTGAGACGACGTGGTTTTCTAGATATACAATCATGTCATCAGCAAACAGGGACAATTTGACTTCCTGTTTTCCTAACTGAATACCCTTTATTTCTTTCTCCTGCCTGATTGACCTTGCCAGAGCTTCTAACACTATGTTGATTAGGAGTGGTGAGAGGGGACATCCCTGTCTTGTGCCAGTTTTCAAGGGGAATGCTTCCAGTTTTTGCCCATTCAGTATGATATTGGCTGTGGGTTTGTCATAAATAGTTCTTATTATTTTGAGATACTTCCCATCAATACCTAATTTACTAAGAGTTTTTAGCTTGAAGCGTTGTTGAGTTTTGTCAAAGGCCTTTTCTGCATCTATTGAAATAATCCTGTGGTTTTTGTCATTGGTTCTGTTCATATGCTGGATTACACTTATTGATTTGTGTATGGCAAACCAGCCTTGCATCCCAGGGATGAAGCCAACTTGATCATGGTGGATAAGCTTTTTGATGTGCTGCTGGATTCGGTTTGCCAGTATTTTCTTGAGGATTTTTGCATCAATGTTCATCAGGGATATTGGTCTAAAATTCTGTTTTTTATTGTGTCTCTGCCAGGCTTTGGTATCAGGATGATGCTGGCCTCATAAAATGAGTTAGGGAGGATTCCCTCTTTTTCTATTGATTGGAATAGTTTCAGAAGGAATGGTACAAGCTCCTCCTTGTACCTCTGGTAGAATTCGGCTGTGAATCCATCTGGTCCTGGATTGTTTTTGGTTGGTAAACTATTAATTATTGCCTCAATTTCAGAGCCTGTTATTGGTCTATTCGGGGATTCAACTTCTTCCTGGTTTAGTCTTGGGAGGGTGTATGTGTCGAGGAATTTATCCTTTTCTTCTAGATTTTCTAGTTTATTTGCATAGAGATGTTTATAGTATTCTCTGATGGTAGTTTGTATTTCTGTGGGATCGGTGGTGATAACCCCTTTTACCATTTTTTATTGCGTCTATTTGATTCTTCTCTCTTTTCTTCTTTATTAGTGTTGATAGCGGTCTATCAATTTTATTGATCTTTTCAAAAAACAAGCTCCTGGATGCATTGATTTTTTGAAGGGTTTTCTGTGTCTCTATCTCCTTCAGTTCTGCTCTGATCTTAGTTATTTCTTGCCTTTTGCTAGCTTTTGTATCTGTTTGCTCTTGCTTCTCTAGTTCTTTTAATTGTGATGTTAGGGTGTCAATTTTAGATCTTTCCTCCTTTCTCTTGTGGGCATTTAGTGCTATAAATTTCCATCTACACACTGCTTTCAATGTGTCCCAGAAATTCTGGTATGTTGTGTCTTTGTTCTCATTGGTTTCAAAGAACATCTTTATTTCTGCCTTCATTTCGTTATGTACCCAGTAGTCATTCAGGAGCAGGTTGTTCAGTTTCCATGTAGTTGAGTGGTTTTGAGTGAGTTTCTTAATCGTGAGTTCTAGTTTGATTGCCCTGTGGTCTGAGAGACAGTTTGTTATAATTTCTGTTCTTTTACATTTGCTGAGGAGTGCTTTACTTCCAACTATGTGGTCAGTTTTTGAATAAGTGTGATGTGTTGCTGAGAAGAATGTATATTCTGTTGATTTGGGGTGGAGAGTTCTGTAGATATCTATTAGGTCCGCCTGGTGCAGAGCTGAATTCAATTCCTGGATATCCTTGTTAACTTTCTATCTCCTTGATCTGTCTAATGTTGACAGTGGGATGTTAAAGTCTCCCATTATTATTGTGTGGGAGTCTAAGTCTCTTTGTAGGTCTCTAAGGACTTGCTTTATGAATCTGGGTGCTCCTGTATTGGGTGCATATATATTTAGGATAGTTAGTTCTTCTTGTTGAATTGATCCCTTTACCATTATGTAATGGCCTTCTTTGTCTCTTTTGATCTCTGTTGGTTTAAAGTCTGTTTTATCAGAGACTAGGATTGCAACCCCTGCCTTTTTTTGTTTTCCATTTGCCTGGTAGATCTTCCTCCATCCCTTTATTTTGAGCCTATGTGTGTCTCTGCACATGAGATGGGTCTCCTGAATACAGCACACTGATGGGTCTTGACTCTTTATCCAATTTGCCAGTCTGTGTCTTTTAAATGGAGCATTTAGCCCATTTACATTTAAGGTTAATATTGTTATGTGTGAATTTCATCCTGTCATTATGATATTAACTGGTTATTTTGCTTGTTAGTTGATGCATTTTCTTCCTAGCATCGATGGTCTTTACAATTTGGCATGTATTTTCAGTGTCTGGTAGTGGTTGTTCCTTTCCAGGTTTAGTGCTTCCTTCAGGAGCTCTTGTAAGGCAGGCCTGGTGTTGACAAAATCTCTCAGCATTTGCTTGTCTGTAAAGGATTTTATTTCTCCTTCACTTATGAAGCTTAGTTTGGCTGGATATGAAATTCTGGGTTGAAAATTCTTTTCTTTAAAAACGTTGAATATTAGCCCCCACTCTATTCTGGCTTGTAGAGTTTTTGCCAAGGCATCCACTGTGAACGCCACAAAGATACTCCTCAAGAAGAGTAACTCTAAGACACATGATTGTCAGATTCACCAAAGTTGAAATGAAGGAAAAAATATTAAGGGCAGCCAGAGAGAAAGGTCAGGTTACCCACAAAGGGAAGCCCATCAGACTAACAGTGGATCTCTCGGCCAAAATTCTTTCTCTTTTCTGATTGCTCTGACTAGGACTTCCAGTACTATGTTGAAGAGGAGTAGTGAGAGTGGGCAGCCTTGTCTTGTTCCAGTTCTCAGAGGGAATGCTTTCAACTTTTCCCCGTTCAGTATTATGTTGGCTGTGGGTTTGTCATAAATGGTTTTTATTACCTTGAGGCATGTCCCTTGTATGCCAATTTTGCTGAGAGTTTTAATCATAAAGGAATGTTGGATTTTGTCAAATGGCTCATGTGATTTTTGTTTTTGATTCTGTTTATGTGGTGTATCACATTTATTGACTTGCATATGTTAAACTATCCCTGCATCCCTGGTATTAAACCCACTTTAATCATGCTGGATTATCTCTGATATGTTGTTGGATTCAGTTAGCTAGTATTTTGTTGAGGTTTTTTGCATATCTGTTCAACAGGGATATTGGTCGGTAGTTTTCTTTTTTGGTTGTATCCTTTCCTGATTTAGATATTAGGGTGATACTGGCTTCATAGAATGATTTAGGGAGGCGTCCCTCTTTTTCTGTCTTGTAGAATAGTGTCAATAGGATTGGTAACAGTTCTTTTTTAATGTCTGGTATAAAGCTGTTGTGAATGCGTCTGGTCCTGGACTTGTTTTGTTGGTAATTTTTTATTACCCTTTCAGTCTCACTGCTTTTTATTGGTCTGTTCTAAGTATCTAATTCTTCTTGATTTAAGATAGGAGTGTTTGTCTTTCCAGGAATTTATCCATCTCCTCTAGGTTTTCTGGTTTATGCACATAAAGGTGTTCATAGTAGCTTTGAATGATGTTTAGTATTTCTGTGATGTCAGTTGTAATATCTCCCATTTCATTTCTAATTGAGCTTAGTTGGATGTTCTCTCTTCTTTTCTTGGTTAATCTTGCTAATGGTAATTCAATTTTATTTATCGTTTCAAAGAACCAGCTTTTTGTTTCATGTATCTTTTGTATTGTTTTTTGTTTGTTTCAGTTTCACTTGGTTCTGCTCACATTTCGGTTATTTCCTTTCTTCTGCTGGGTTTGGGTTTGGTTTGTTCTTACTTCTCTAGTTCCTTGAGGTGTGACTTTAGATTATCTGTTTGTGCTCTTTCAGACTCTTTGATATAGGCGTTTAGGGCTGTAAACTTTCCTCCTAGCACCACCTTTGCTGTATCCCAGAGGTATTGATAGGTTGTGTCACTATTGTCATTCAGTTCGAAGAGTTTTTAATTTCCATCATGATTTCATTGTTAGCCCAATGATCATTCGGGAGCAAGTCATTTAATTTCCATGTATTTGCATGGTTTTGAAGGTTCCTTTTGGAGTTGATTTCCAGTTTTATTCCACTGTGGTCTGAGAGAGTGCTTGATATAATTTCAATTTTCTTAAATTTATTGAGGCTTGTTTTGTGGCCTGTCATATGGTCTATCTTGGAGAAAGTTCCATGCACTGTTGATTAGAATGTATATTCTGTGGTTGTTGGGTAGAACGTTCTGTAAATATCTGTTAAGTCTACTTGTTCCAGGGTATAGTTTAAATGCATTGTTATTTTGTTGGCTTTCTGTCTTGATGACCTGTCTCGTGCTGTCAGTGTAGTATTTAAGTCCCCCCACTATTATTATGTTGCTGTCTATCTCATTTCTTAGGTCTATTAGTAATTGTTTTATAAATTTGGGATCTCCCAAATTTATATATTTATGATTCTGATACTTCCCTGTTGGACAAAGCCTTTTATTGTTATATAATGTCCCTCTTTGTCTTTTTTAACTGCTGTTTTTAAAGTTTGTTTTATGTGATATAGGAATAGCTACTCCTGCTCACTTTCGGTGTCCATTTGCATGGAATGTTGTTTTCCATCCCTTTACCTTAAGTTTGTGTGAGTCCATATGTGTTAGGTGTGTCTCGAAGGCAGCAGATATTTAGTTGATGAATTCTTATCTATTCGGCAATTTTGTATCTTTTAAGTGGAGCATTTAGGCCATTTATGTTCAATGTTAGTATTGAGATGTGAGGTACTATTCCATTCATCATGCTATTTGTTGCCTGTATACCTTGGTTTTTTTTTTTTTAATTGTATTTTTGTTTTATAGGTCCTGTGAGATTTATGCTTTAAAGAGGTTCTGTTTTGATGTGTTTCCAGAATTTGTTTCAAGATTTAGAGCTCCTTTTAGCAGTTCTTGTAGTGCTGGCTTGGTAGTGGCAAATTTTCTCAGCATATGTTTGTTTGTCTGAAAAAGACTGTATCTTTCCTTCATTTATGAAGCTTAGTTTTGCTGGGTACAAAATTCTTGGCTGATAATTGTTTTGTTTGAGGAGGCTAAAGATAGGGCCCCAATCCTTCTAGCCTGTAGGGTTTCTGCTGAGAAATCTATTGTTAATCTGATTGGTTTTCCTTTATAGGTTACCTGGTGTTTTTGCCTCACAGCTCTTAAAATTCTGTCCTCCATCTTAACTTTAGATAACCTGTTGACAGTGTGCCTAGGTGATTATCTTTTTATGATGAATTTCCCAGGTGTTGTTTGAGCCTCCTGTATTTGGATGTCTAGGTTTCTAGCAAGGCTGGGGAACTTTTCCTCAATTATTCCCCCAAATATATTTTCTAAACTTTTAGTTTTCTCTTCCTCCTCAGGAACACCGATTATTCTTAGGTTTGGCCATTTAACATAATCCCAGACTTCTTGGAGTCTTTGTTCATATTTTCTTATTCTTTTTTCTTTGTCTTTGTTGGATTGGGTTAATTTGAAAACTTTATCTTCAAGCTCTGAAGTTCTTTCTTCTGCTTGTTCAATTCTATTGCTGAGATTTTCCAGAGCATTTTGTATTTCTATAAGTGTGTCCATCATTTCCTGAAGGTTTAATTGTTTATTATTTATGCTATTTATTTCCTTGAATAGTTCTCCTTTCACTTCTTGTATTATATTTTGGATTTCCTTACATTGGACTTTGCCTTTCTCTGGTGCCTCCCTTATTAGCTTAATAACTAACTGTCTGAATTCTTTTTCAGGTAAATCAGGGATTTCTTCTTGGTCTGGATTCATATTTGGTGAGCTAGTGTGATTTTTAGGGGGTGTTAAAGAACCTTGTTTTTTCCCATTACCAGGGTTGGTTTTCTGGTTTCTTATTTGGATAGGCTCTGTCAGAAGAAGGTCTAGGGCTCAAGGCTCTTGTTCAGATTATTTTGTCCCACGGGATACTCCCTTGATGTAATACTCTTCTCCTTTCCTAGGGATGGGGGTTCCCGAGAGCTGAGCTGTAATGATTGTTATCTCTCTTCTGGATATAGCCACCTAGCAAATGTATCAGACTCTGGGCTAGTACTGGAGGTTGTCTGCACAGAGTCCTGTGATGTGAACCATCTTTGGGTCTCTCAGCCATGGATACGAGCACCTGCTCGGGTGGCAGTGGCAGGGGAGTGAAATGGACTCTGAGTGTTCTTAGCTTTGGTTGATTAGTGTGCTATTTTTGTGCTGGTTGACCTGCTGGGAAGTGGCACTTGCAAGAGAGCATCAGCTATGGGAGTATGGGGGGGGAACATTTGGTAGGTGGGGCCCCATAACTCCCAAGAGTATATGCCCATTGTCTTCAGTTACCAGGGTGGTAGGAAAGGACCATTAGATGGTGGCAGGGCTAGGCATGCCTGGGCTTGGACTCTACTTGGGCAGGTCTTGCTGCAACTGCTGTGGGAGATGGGGGTGAGGTTCCCACGTCAGTGGAATTATGTTCCTAGGAGGATTATGGCTGCCTCTGTTGTGTCATGCAGGTTGCCAGGAAACTGGGGGAAAGACAGGAGTCACAGGCCTCACTCAGCTCCCGTCTAACCCAAATGGCTGGTCTCACTCCCACTGTGCCCCCCCGCCAAGAGCACCAAGTCTGTTTCCAGGCAGTGAGTGAGCAGGGCTAAGAACTTGCCCCATGTTACCCACCTCCCAGCTGTGAAAGTAAGCAGGGCTTTCCTTCTCCCCCCACCTGTGGAGTCTGCACGCTGGATTCATGCCCTCTTCAGAGTTCTGGCCAGGAGACTTCTCAATCGGTTCAAATTGTTGCAAAGTTCCACTGGAGGTTTCCTTCTCCCTGTGGTTTTTTTCCCAGTGCCTCTGGCAGCCCTCCTCAAGGGCCCCTGTGAGGCAAGGCAGAAAATGCCTTGCTAGGGGACCCTAGCAAGCCCACAGGGGGACCCTAGAGCAAGCCCACAGGGCTTTGCATGTTGCTTCCTCTACCTCTGTATTTCCCTTGGCTCTCTAAATTGACTCAGTTCCAGTTAAGGTTAGAATCTTTTCCCATCATCTAGAGCTTCAGGTTCCCCAGTGTGGGGGTGTATTCTGGGGCAGACGATCTCCCTTTCCTGCTTCCACAGTTTGGGCACCCACAGTATTTGGGGTGTCTCCCAGGTCCTGCAGGAGCAATCCACTTCCTTCAGAGGGTCTGTGGGTTCTCTTGGCTTTCCTAACGTTTTCTTGCACTGGTTCTGGAGCAAAAGTTCATGATGCAAGCCTCCATATGATGTTCTGTACGTCCAAGTGGGGGCTGCAATCTAGTCCTGCCTCCCGTCTGCCATGATCTGTTTCACCCCACTGAAGGTTTTTGAGCAGGAGTGGCTGAGTCTCATATTTGTGACTTACCCAGAGGATGGTTTAGGGGTTTTTATGTTTGTTTTTTTAGAGACAGTGTCTTGCCCTGTCACTCAGGCTGGGCGATCTTAGCTCACTCGAGTTTTATTTTTTGATATTTTCAAAAGTATAAACAACTTAAATGTCTATCAATCGGAAACTAGTTAAATGAACTATGTTACTGTGGAATACTATGCATCCATTAAAAGAATGATATTTATCTATATTTGTTGATATGGTTGCAAAATCACCTGAATCATATGATCCTATTGAAATATATTTTGCTATATCTGTTTCTATGTATATGTATGTATGTATATATATATAAAAGTATATTTAAATAAGCAAAGGAAAGATGATTGATGCTTTTCTGTGAGAGGTTGGATTGTGAGAGATTATGCTTCCTACTTTGTACTTCTTTATTTAAACATATGACATACTGATTATGTCTTACCTCTAAAAAGAGAAAAACAATTTTAACAGACTGTTATTTTGTGTTTGTTTCTTATATGTCTAGTGTTTTGCTGTTTTTCTCTTAAATTTTAAAAGTTTATTCAGAATCTTCCGCAGAGCTTTGCCTAGAACAGCACACAGGTTTGACTTGAGTATACCAGACAGATGTAGCCTAGAGTTTGAGCCATGTCATGCATAAGGGGACGTGATGACTGGTGAAGTCAGTACCAAGACTGGCAATGGCATCAGGGTCAGAGAGAGTTCTTTAGCTGAGTTTTCTACTCATTCATCTAGGGGAGTTTTGTAACTTTAATAGGACTAGAGAAACATTTACATTGAGGCATTAGGAGCATGTTCACACTGCTCAACCCACAGGATTAAGAATGAGATTTATGTAAAGTGAGTAGGGTTAGATGAGTGCATGCACTTGGTCCTCCTGTTTTCTAATTGCCGAAGAAGCGCTTTGAGATGGGGAACAGGAATGTATGTGTAGACAAGGGCATATTTTTCAGTGAGACACGATAGGATATATTCTTCAATAGAATGAAGTTAAGAAGGCGAATCTAGTTATTAGTGGTTTGTTGAAATAAAACTAATTTGGAAAATAACTTGTTTCTCATATGTATCTCCATCAATTATTTGCTTAATCTTCCATATATGTCTTTTTTTCAAACTGGCTTTTTCATGCATACCAAATCCCATAAAAATTGAAGTTATTCTTTCTGACTAGAAATCAGAGAAGATTTATAACTGCTTGTAATTTAGGTGAATATTGATTTACTGCAACAGTCAGATGAACTGGAGATAGCATTAACACCCTCAGGAAATGAAAAATGCTAAGAAATAGTACTTAATTAGAAACTGTGACAGATTGTATTTTCCAAAAATGGCCACAGCAGTTTCTCCAGTCCCACATTCTCTCTGTCAGTAAACAGCATCTATTTCCCTTCCCCTTTAATATGGGGCTGAACTTTATGCCTGTATCAACAAACTGAGTGTGATGGTTATGACATTGCATGACTTTGAGTCTATGTCATAAAAAGCAATAAGGCTTCTACCTACCTCTTTTTCTCTCTGAAAACACTCACTTTTGGAACCAGCCACTATGCTGTGAGAAAACTCAAACTAGCGTATGAGAGAGGATCCATATGGGATGGTCCACATGCAGAGGAGCTGAGGCCTCCAACCTTCATCCAGCATCAACTACCAGATGAGAGAGCGAATGAGCCTTCATATGATTCTAGCTCCTAGCCTTTTAGTCTTCCTACTGAAGTCCCAAACATGGAGCAGAGACAAGCTGTCCCAGCAGTGCTGTGTTCAAATTTCTAACCATAGAATTTGTGAGCATAATTAGTAATTATTTTATACCATTGAGTTTTGCAGTAATTTGTTTTACAGCCATAGTAACTGGTACAGGGCCATTTCTCCTATACTCAGAGTGGATAAGGATGTGTCAGCAGAAAAGAACATGGTTCTTTTTAAGAGATAATTTTATATCTCCATGGTGTGACCTGGATTCAAAGAGTAATTTTTAAAGATATTTGTAGCTAATATTTTATTTGAAGTGCACAAAGAAGAGTAACCAGAGGACTGGTTATTTTAAAAACTGCTAAATAAAGCAGTTTTTCAGTGACCACTGAAAGGAGTCTCCTTTAGGTCCAATTAAATACCCCTTGAGTGCTGTGGTTTGAATGTGTCCCCAAAAAGCATATGTTGGGAACTTAATCCCCAGTGCAACAGTGTTATGCCAGTTATAAGAGGGCTTGAGGCTCTCTCTCACCTTCTGTTTGCCCTTCCAGCATGGGATATCACAGCAAAAAGTCCCTTACCTCCAGAAACATAAGCCAAGAAATTTCTGTTCATTATAAATTACCCAGTCTCAGGTAGTCCATTATAGCAACACAAAACGGACTAGGACATTGAGATTCTAGGTTGTTTTACGATTTGGAATGTTATCCAGACTGATAGACCAATCCAGAATATTGTCTTATGTGCTTTTCAGAGATATTTCAACATGGCATTAAATAATTCCTCCAGTTTCACAAACACAAAATTGGTAATGCCGTGAAGAAATAATTAGGTGAGAGCGCTCAGTACTTTAAATAGATCTAACAAAGTTTGGAAAATGAATGATCCTCAGTAAATGAAGATTTTATGATAAAAATTAAGACTCGACAAATTATCAAAATTTTTTATAAATTTCAAAACGTATGTAATTTTCAAATAATCTCATATATTATTACTAATTTTGTTTTCCCCTATTCAGGTTGATTATATGTGTGTACCATAAAAATAAAGGCAACCTGCTATCTATTATTTAGTGATGCAGACCTCTTTTTCATGTGATACTGTATTTTATTAATAGATAATGTAAAATTTAAAGAGTACCATCACTCATGTACTGAGTACTTTGAAAAATAACTTGCAGTTTCTTGTAATTGTTTTCTGTCATTTGCACACATTATTTTTGATGGCAGAATATCATTTGACTTCTGAAAATTTTGAAAATACCTTTAGTTTTTTGGAGCAATTGCTAAAATAAAGTAAGTAATTGTCTCTTCTATATTTTTGTTCTTTATTTAGTAAATTCAGCAAACATTTAGTCAGCTGCACCATGTGCCAGGTACTGCTCTAGCCTTTGGAAATACAGAAGTAAATACATCAGAATCTCTGCGTTTCTAGTTTTTCTTAGGGAGCTTACATTTTGGTGGGGTATGGAACTGACAATCAAGTATGATGTTTTGGGATGGTAAATAGCATAAGGAAGGAGCAGGGTAATGAATTAGTGATGCAGATGAAGAGCTGGGGTGCTCTTTTAGATAAAGTGAGTGAGATCAGGCCTCAGAGATTAACTGAATTGGCACTTAAAAAGAGACTTGAATGTAGAGAGTGGGACCAAGTCATGCAGCTATTTTGAAGAAGGAAGTTCCTTATAGAGGGCACAACATATACAAAAGCCTGACTGATAAAGAAGAGAACCTTTGAGAAAAGGTAAGGAGAACAGGATGGCTAGAGCTAAATGAGCAAATGGAATACCTTTATGAGATGAAGTAAAAAAGGTGATGGCCCACAAGGAAAGTGAAAAAAGTGATTGAGATGGAGGGGTGAATATCCCTATCAAATATTGCTAATATGTCTAGTGAAATGTGGATTTACAATGGAGTAGTCATTAATTCATGTAGTATCTTATTATGTCACATTGAAGGGACTCAAAAAAATTGTAATTTAATGTCTAAAAGGGATTAGTGGATTTACAGTCATAGCAATTATTTTTAGTTTTTAAATATCTATATATATTTCAGAGAAGTAAATAGATGACAACTAAGTTTTATGCATAAGATATATTACAAGGATAAAATGGGAGAGACAGAGGGATGAATACAAAAGTTTAAGGAAAGAGAAGGAATGATGTAAAATTTTCTAGTTAATATGTTTATATATTTTTTAAATAAGTGATGGTTAGGTATACATAGGTTATATCAGAAAGAGTAACTGTTCGAGTTATTATGTCAACAAGCATAGTACACAGGAAACTCCATGTTTTATAACTAGGAAGCTTATGATAAAGTTTTAGATGGCAACTTAAATATATGTGAGGGTCATACAAGACCTAGTATTTGAAGACCACTGAATTAAATCAATTTGAGAACGGTATCAAGGATTTGTAATATACTGGTTTATAGTTAGTTTTCTCTATTTCATATGATGTATTGTACCTCTAACTTTTATCAGCCATGAAGAAAATGGGTATCATTGGCTATTGGTCCATGAAAATAATATTGAGATGGGTCAGTATAAGTTCTGTTTGAAAACCGTCTCAAAACTTACGGGTTAGTAGCATTCGTTCATTCAGAAAACCTTTATTAAACACCTACCAAGAAGATACAACTATTATTTCCTCATAGTATGCCCTATTTGGGCACTGTTGATTAGTTACGGTAGCCCCAGTGGCATAGGTGATCTGGAAATTATATCAGTGCATTTCTTTAATATTTATTATGCTTAATTTATAAGCAAAGCACATGTCTCCAAGAAGCTTTAATCAAGTTGCTTGCTTTTACATATAACATAATTCTATTTTAAAATATTTTCATTGAATCTCTTTTCCATTTTTTGAGATTCGTAGAATTGTGCCTGGCTTATTCACAGTCAAAACCAGACACCTATAGTCTTAATTATGTGCAAGTTTCCACAGTAAATAGTTCTTATTTTTAAATTAAATTTGTTCATTTTATTTTCCATCAATAGTTTACGTGGCTGTAAAATATGTACTATCTTTGAATCTTTGCTTCCTCACTAACTTTTGTGGTTTTGACTATCGAGTAATTAATGATTAAGTAATTTTGCCAATAAACCACACTTAAATTACTTATTATTGGTAACTATAGTTGAGATGTTGTGACTATTTGATAAAAAATATATCTGTTTACTTTCCCTTCTTTGTATTATCAAAGATTATTTTGTTGTACATGTAATTTAAAAGTATGTAGTTCTCTTTATAAGTCAAAAATACAGAAAATATAGCCATTACAATGACCCTTAATATATATTTATTTATCATGCTCCTCTTCTCCCTTGCCTTTTTAGAATAAAATAACAGAATAATGAGAACCAGATTTTTAAATGTCGTTTTGCTGCAATTTTTTTTCAAGCATTATTTGAAAAGTGTTTCCATAGCCTTTCCACTAACTTTACTATTTGATTTGATCAAGAGAAGTACTTTAGCACATATGGATATTTTGATTCTAATCAAATGTTTTTGTTCATTAATTTTTTCTTATACTTGTTTTATTTTAGGTTCTGAATAGTCTTTTACTGTATTACTTATTCTTCCTTAAAAATGTAATACAGTTGTTTTAAAAAGATAACCACACTACACATATTATTTTTATTAAATCTTCATCTTCTATCATAAAACTATGTACGCTAATTCATTGTAGCAGTATGAGTTCAGATTCTGGAGCTAGACACTTACATGTTCTAACTATGGTTATGCTACTGATTTCAGACATAGAACTTTTTGGTATTTTAATTTCCTAATCTGTAAACTAAGAATAATGATCATAATTTAGGCAGTGCTTACTTTCCATCCTACTTTTGAGACTTCCTTTGAAAATCATAAGTGAACACAGTGAAATGAAGGAAGGAATTCTCAGTTTTAATATTTATAATTTATACAACTTTTTTATGAATAGTTATATACCAATGGCCATGACAGGTCATTGGCTTTTCCAATATAAGGAACCTTGTAGAGGGAGCATCAAATAGTAAGGTGAAGTTCTACAAGGCAAGGAAATGCCAGTCAAGCTTTCTTTGCTTCCTGGGATTTTGTCCCATTGTTTGATGATTGCTCCAAATGGTCAGTTTCTCAACCAAATCCAGCACTTATGATTTTTTTTCCTGTCTACGGGACATGTGTAGAAACTCTTCCTGATACTCCCTGGAGGCCTCAATCCTTCGATTGCTGATCTTAACTAAGCAAGACTCAAACATGTCTTTTCTTAATTATGGTTCAAGACTCCTTTAAAAATGGAATCCATATTGGTACTTTTTAGACTAATCCATGAACTAATGAACTTTTGGTACTCCTAGCTCTAATGCTATATTTGAGAAAAACTACTGCAGAGGACTTTTAAGTCTGCATTAGTGTAGTGATCATCCTCTCCAAACGTTATTCCTGCTTTCCCTCATTTCTCTATCATTTAACCAACCCAGGCAAGGTTAGACACTTAATCCATTTAAATCTAAACCTCTGCTATCACCAAAAGACTATATTTTTGGTAAAGTTTGTGTGTGTATATATGCTGACTGTAAACTTAAAAATATACATCAGTGTTTTTATTGAAGAAATAAAGAGCTATAAAATGAGACACTCATACAGCTTTTGACTTCCAGATTTTTATAGAAAAGTAGGTAGGACCTACAAGTGTTCAGAAAATATGATTAGATTTGCTGTTTGGCATGCATACATTTAACAGATGTTTAATGTGTATAGTTTCATTTGGTACAGCTGTCTTGGTATTTCCTGAATACTTTTAAACTCCTTAGTATCTTTTATTTAAAGAAATCTGGAACTACATCAGCAAAACTGTCTTTATTTTTCATCCGGGCATAATGATATCTATATAGGAAATGAAGTGGCAAATCACATGGATAAGCCATACCCATGGAATGTCTATATGATAATAGTCTGCATTTGACCACAGATTATTTTTATTACTTGATCCTTCCATTCCCTTGCACAACGCCATTTATTTATGTTAAAACAGAAGAAGACAAAGAGTTTCAGTGCATTTGCATGAATTAATTGGATCCTCAGAGAGGACACTGCAGCAAAGAGCAGATCTCTTAGGATAGCATGACTAATTCATATGGTATTTTAGTGGCATCCCAGTTGCAGTGTGCACTTGGATAACTTTTTTAAACAACAAAATTATTCTCCCTTTGCCCTTATTAATATTACTCCCTAACTTCAGTACAGTAGAAATGATGCTTGGTAAAGATTGGTAACATAAAACATTTTAAGTAACTTTTACCAGATTTTATTCTGAACTTTGTTCTCACCTATAAAACATATGTGGGAAACGGGCCTGGTGCGGTATCATGCCTGTAATCCCAGCACTTTGGGAGGCCAAGGTGGGCAGATCATGAGGTCAGGAGATCAAGACCATCCTGGCTAACACGGTGAAACCCCGTCTCTACTAAAAAATACAAAAATTTAGCCGGACATGGTGGTGGGCGCCCATAGTCCCAGCTACTCGGGAGACTGAGGCAGGAGAATGGCATGAACCCGGGAGGCGTAGCTTGCAGTCAGCCGAGATAGCACCACTGCATTCCAGCGTGGGTGACAGGGCAAGACTCCATCTCAAAAAAAAAAAAAAATATATATTGTGGGAAATGGAAAGTTTTATCTATTGAAATAACATTTTAGAATGCAGATAATGGCAAAGGGACCAGTTCTATAGGAAATGTTTACAACAATTTCCTTGTTTGGGATGCCTAAAAATCAAATATAGTAGGCCAGTGTTAGTTGACAAGAAAAGAGAATGACTGAAAAAGAAACAAAAGTTGCAAAAGCTTTTACGCCAGCTCATAGATTCCACAGTTATGACATTAACTTACGAAATTTCTATCTAAAATGCTACCAATTGTGGTTTGTAAATGCCCCTGCAGGTTTTAAATGAAAAGGACAGAAAGATCATTGGCCTATTCTTGCTTTCATTTGTTTAACATCACTGCATTGTCTCATTTTATTGAAAAACCTAGCATTAAACTATAGCATGACCTAGAAATATGTTTCATCATAGAGAAATATAGTATACAATTAGGAGTATGGGATTTTAAATCAGATTTTCTGGATGAAAACCAAGCTTTGTTTTTTATTGGATGTGTACATTTAGACAAGTACTTTAACCTTTCTGGGCCAGTTTGTTCTTCTGTACAATGGAGATAAAATACTGCCTACTTAATTTATGATTATTATGAGAAATAAATGAGTTAGCATGTGTAAATTGCTTAGAACACTGCTTGGGATATAAGAAGTTTACTTTCAGCATTAACTTTTAATGCTTTTATTATCATTGGGACAAATTTTCCTAAATGATGATTTTGATCAGAATGTCTTTGGTTCTACTCATTCTTTTTTAAAGTATTTATTAATTTAAATACCTTTTTGTTCCAGAAGTGATTGTGGCAACTTAAAACAATATGTACTGTTAAAACTGGTGAATAGAAAATGAGCATCAAAATATTGAGACTGAAACTGATATTCAGTATAAATATATATGCCATAAGATCCTGCCAATCAAAATTATTCTGCAGAACCAGCTTGTTCTGGGGAAAACCTACTATCATATTTTATCCATGATATTTATGATTTTAAGTTGATTAGGAACCTTATATTTTTTTCAGGACCTGAGTTAAATTTGTTGTTGTGGCAACATTTCATTGCTGTGGTTTTAAATCCATCCCCATAATATATTTTTAACATTTTTAGGTGCTGTTTTTTTTCTTTTTCACTATTCTAGCTATAACTGCAGATGCTCTACATAGCAGAGAAAGGGGGAAAAAAAGGAGGAGGCACTTGCCAATGCAAGTTAAACAAATTTTCTTTCGTACATATATGTTCAGGTAATAAGCATAGCTTGATCATTACAATTTTTTTACTCTTCATAGACTCTTAAGCTATTATAGGAAATTCTATTCCATTGGTTGTTTTCCAGTCTTCACATTAAAATTTCCAACTTTTCCATAAATTTTAGTGTCATTTATTTAGTATTTTGAGCTTGTTCTCAACTTCTCAAGCTGATCATGTAAAAACTAAAGTTTTGTTTTTGTTGTAACAGATATGCACAGTGTAAAGTTGGTACCTTTATCACTTAGGATTTATATTTGCCTCCTTGTACCATAAACTAGAAATAACAACAGCATAAGCAAGGTCAGAAGTAAACAGTTCAGAGCTAGTACAGAAGCTAAACAAAGTCATAAAAGGATTCAGAAATCATTCTGTCTTTGTACTTTTTCTATTCTTAGCATTGACTTACATCATTAAGGCTACAAAAATGACTGCCAGAGCTCCAGCAAAGATATTTGTGATGACTGGGGGAAGAAAACAAAAATCCAAGGAACAAAAGGGGAAAAGAACAAGTGTCTGTCCCACTTTTAAGGAGCACTGTTGATGATTTCGCCCAATAACTGCCACTCTCATTTCTTGGCTATTTCCAGCTGGGAGGAAGTCTTGGGAATAATGGCCTGCATGTGTGTCCATAATTCCTAAAATTAAATGGGAGCTCTATTGATAAAGAAAAGTACATATTAGAGAGGCAACTGGCAGGTTTTGCTATAATCTCTAATTTCTTATATATTCTTTTTGATAGGTGTTTAGTGTTCTTTTTCTTTTTTTTCTTTTTTTTCTTTTTAGGGGTTTTTTTTAATTTTAGGGTTTTTTTATTTTTAGGGTTTTTTTTTAAGTTTTAGGGTACATGTGCACAACGTGCAGGTTAGTTACATATGTATACATGTGCCATGTTGGTGTGCTACACCCAGTAACTCGTCATTTAACATTATGTATATCTCCTAATGCTATCCCTCCCCCTTCCCCCCCCCCCACAACAGGCCCCGGTGTGTGATGTTCCCCTTCCTGTGTCCAAGTGCTCTCATTGTTCAATTCCCACCTATAAGTGAGAACATGCGCTGTTTGGTTTTCTGTCCTTGCGATAGTTTGCTGAGAATGATGGTTTTCAGCTTCATCCATGTCCCTACAAAGGACATGAACTCATCATTTTTTATGGCTGCATAGTATTCCATGGTATATATGTGCCACATTTTCTTAATCCAGTCTATCATTGTTGGACATTTTGGTTGGTTCCAAGTCTTTGCTATTGTGAATAGTGCCACAATAAACATACATGTGCATGTGTCTTTATAGCAGCATGATTTATAATCGTCTGGGTATATACCCAGTAATGGGATGGCTGGGTCAAATGCTGTTTCTAGTTAAAGATCCCTGAGGAATTGCCACACTGACTTCCACAATGGTTGAACTAGTTTACAGTCCCACCAACAGTGTAAAAGTATTCCTATTTCTCCACATCCTCTCCAGCACCTCTTGTTTCCTGACTTTTTAATGATTGCCATTCTAACTGGTGTGAGATGGTATCTCATTGTGGTTTTGATTTGCATTTCTCTGATGGCCAGTGATGATGAGCATATTTTCATGTGTCTTTTGGCTGCATAAATGTCTTCTTTTGAGAAGCGTCTGTTGACATCCTTCGCCCACTTTTTGATGGGGTTGTTTGTTTTTTTCTTGTAAATTTGTTTGAGTTCTTTGTAGATGCTGGATATTAGCCCTTTGTCAGATGAGTAGGTTGCAAAAATTTTCTCCCATTCTGTAGGTTGCCTGTTCACTCTGATGGTAGTTTCTTTTGCTGTGCAGAAGCTCTTCAGTTGAATAAGATCCCATTTGTCAATTTTGGCTTTTGTTGCCATTGCTTTTGGTGTTTTAGACATGAAGTCCTTGCCATGCCTATGTCCTGAATGGTATTGCCTAGGTTTTCTTCTAGGGTTTTTATGGTTTTAGGTCTAACGTTTAAGTCTTTAATCCATCTTGAATTAATTTTTGTAGAAGGTGTAAGGAAGGGATCCAGTTTCAGCTTTCTACATTTGGCTAGCCAGTTTTCCCAGCACCATTTATTAAATAGGGAATCGTTTCCCCATTTCTTGTTTTTGTCAGGTTTGTCAAAGATCAGATAGTTGTAGATAAGTGGCATTATTTCTGAGGGCTCTGTTCTGTTCCATTGGTCTATATCTCTGTTTTGGTACCAGTACCATGCTGTTTTGGTTACTGTAGCCTTGTAGTATAGTTTGAAGTCAGGTAGCATGATGCCTCCAGCTTTGTTCTTTTGGCTTAGGATAGGTGTTTAGTGTTATTTTTCAACATCTGTTTGAGAAGGTGCTATTGCCATTTTTAGGCAATAACATCCCAGTTTAGCTTTCTTAACTGAAAGAAAATCTCCTTTACTTGTTTACAAGAAGTAGGGATGTTAGGATTTTCTTACATTCTTAGATCCAGGTGGGAGGCAGCAGTGATTTTAAGAGTACCGACAAGGAGGGCGTTTTCCTGCTTGGTTCCCTCAGTAGGATAAATCTGTTTTAAAATGTGCCAGATAGATGGTATTATTTTTGTTTGTTTGTTTAAGACTTCAGTGATTCATCACTGTAAAATCCTGAATGATGAGGAAGAGCAGCTCTTTTTATGTAAAAAGAGAGAAAAAGTCTGTTCACAGTAACTTTCATTTAATTAAGTGGTGCTTTGTTACCTTGGTTTAATTTTGAATACCAGGGGATTAGAATTCCTAGTGGGAATCAGGCAGCTTTCACTTGTGTAGTTAGCCAGTTTTATCAGTAGTGGAAATATGAAAGTAAGCAGGCAAAGATTGTACAAGCCTAGCAGGTAGCACAAGGTGAGATTTGTACCCCACATTGTCTTTATGCGTGTTTCTCCTTTATTGCATCATGAACCTAGAAAGTAGTAAGTAGTCTGTTGTTTTCATACATAGCCACCGAGGTTACAGATTCTTTAAGGCAAGGATTTTTTATATGATGTATTTAATGTGCCAGGCTTTTTTAAATGCTTCTGTTGCATTTTCAGGGAACCATTTGTATATTGCTATAAAGAAATCTGTCTGAATCTACTGTATATTAAGAGAAGATAATTACATGGTTTAATGACTGCATCTACAGGGCTTTTGGCACCTTGACAGGTTTTTGCATTAGTGTAATGCAATGCAAGAAACTCCTGCATATTTACAGCAAAACAGATATTGTGCCAAGGCCTCTAGCCATAACTGAAGTTCTTATCTGAGAAGGCAGCGTAGTATTGTGGTTTAAAGAATAGATTTGGGTGTCATATGCACCTGGATTTCAGTCCTAGCCCTGCTACTTGGGCAAGTCATAACTTCGCTAAGCCTTAGTGGCTTCATTCATACAGTTACCAAGAGAATAAAAATTTGATAATACATTGTAGATGTCTCCAATGGTACTTTGTCCTTATTAATCCCCTGCCTTTGAGTCTCGGCTGGACTGAGTGAGATTGGGCTATTAAAAGATTGTGGCTTCTGTCTTGAGTGCTCTCTCACTCTCATGGTGCACTCTTGCTTTCTTTCATATTCTCTTGGATTGCTTATTTTGGGGGAAACCAGCTGCCATCTCATTAGGCAGCCTTATGGAGAGGCTCACATGGGCTAGATTGGAGCTGGATATTTTGAGGCCTCTCAACAGCTACTGAGTGGGTTTGGAAGCAGATCCTTCCCCAGTTGAACTTTGAGATGACTAGAGTCCTAGCCTACAACTTGATTACAACTTCAGTAAAGAACATGACCCAGAGGCACTCCTGTAACAGTGCCCAGTTTCTTGACCCATAGAAACTGTGAGATGATAAATATTTGTTGCTTTTCATTTTAAGCCACTAGGTTTTGGGATGCTTTGTTGCACACCGATAGATAACTAATACAGCACATAAAGAGGTCACCTGTGCATAGCAGGGAGCAAGTACTACCAATCAACAAGTATTAACAGTTAAAACAAGAAAAGGTCAGACTTAATCTAGCATTATAGGATTATTTGTCATGTAATATAAAGTAAGTTTCCATATGTGTGTGCAAAGAAAAGAATAAGACTTGTGGACAGTCTCTCTTGCTTGTTTCTGTAGATTGAAACACAAAGTGAAATATCAATCATTTGAGAATTTAAAGATAGTATAGGAAGACAAGAACTTAAAGGTCATCTAACTTCTGCTAATATTAGGTTTAAATTGTTAAAGGTCAAAACAAAAGGAAGGATACATAGTAATTGACAGATATTGTTCTTTAGATTGAAACAATAGGATTGCTAAAATCTATAAAAGTTGAATTGATAAAAATACAGCAGAAGTTGTGTTTGTTACTTCAGCAGTAACCTAAATGATATATTTGGGATCCCTATGTTAATTTAATTTAGAAAAGACTATCCAACAGATTGTAATATTTTTATTATATCATGATCTTGAAAAAAAAGATATAGGAAAAGGTTTTTCATTGTTTTGGAGCATGTAATCAAATTAGGTTGAAAAACTTTATGTGGCCTGTTATATTAAGATAAGTTAGCCTGCCTTGCCGGAATCAATTCATCTTATATTTGAGATAAATTGTTTATTTACCATTGAACTCTATAAAGTAGGATGTGGAACATATTTATTAATATGTAAATATAGCCTTATGGATCAGAACCCCAAGATAGGATTTCTGTGCAGCTACTATACAATATTATCCACCTTTGCTTTTCTCTAAAATTCTAAATCTATGGCTTTTGTTTTTTAAGTTGTTTTGGAAATTTTTAGATTTTCTTTGGAAATTGTTGGAAACAGTTGTTACCAGAATTATTTTCTTTTCAAATTCATTAAACTTTACATATGGAAAGTTATAGTAGATTCTGCCCAGATGATTTCTTGAAGAGCAAAAATGAGTATTTCCATTTCCCAGTGGATTATTTGGTAGTTTGGGGTAAAAAGACAGAACTATGCAAATACGATGAACTTACTTTAGATGACTCAAAACAGAGAATTTACTTACCAGGCATCTTTAAAACAAAAGAAAAAAATAGTTCTTTAGTTGTGGTCAAAAGGTTTTAAGACTCTTTATACCCATTTTTCATGCTCTAAAAGAGCATCTGTAATTCATCTTGTGCATGCTGGGAAGTTACACAGCTTCTTTATATGTTGACATTTTTGAACTATCTAAATAGATAGATGTGGAATATACTCTAAAGTCAAGAAGTATTCTCAAAGAATAGGAGACAGGAACTCTGATTTGAAGTCTTCATGGAATGCGAATGATGGCTTTGAATGTTGTGGTGAAGAGGTTAGGCCTAAATTTTCTGACGTTCAAAGTTAAGGCACCCAGCACTGCGTTAGTTCAAACCACTGGCCAGATTATGTTGAATATTTTAGAGTCCAAATTATTCTTAACATGTATTTTATATAAAACTATTATCCTGAAATTGGTTCAGAGTCTCTTTCAGTGATTCTGAGAAGTTCATAGAAAGTGAACATTTTTAATCCTCCATTTCCCAAACTTACTTGACTTAAAGGTATTTTTTTTATTTTTAATAAGCAGGACACATGCTGTACAGAAATGGCATTTTGTGGAACACGTTGTAAGAAACACTACTCTGATATATGAGGACCTTAACAATCTGGAAAATAACTGTTTGTTTCCTAGGGCTACTGTGGCAATTTACAACAAACTGAGGGGCTTGAAACAAGATAAATTTATTTTCTCACAATTCTGTAGGCCAGAAGCCCCAAATCAAGATGTCATCAGGGCCATGCTCTCAAAGGCTCTAAGGAAGTCTGTTCCATGCCTCTGTCTTAGCTTCTAGTGATTCGGCCTCCATCTTCACATAGACTTCTCCTTTGTATCTGTGTCTCTGTTTCTCTTCGTGTAAAGACACTAGTGATTGGATTGAAGCCCTACCCTAATCCAGTAAGAGCCCATCTCAGTTTACATCTTAATTACATCAGCAAAAACCCTATTTCCAAATAAGCTCACATTCACAAGTGTGGGGGTAGGACTTGAACATATCTTTTTGGGGGACACAATTCAACCCATTACAATAATTATCTGTTGAATCGAATATCCCACTGTTCTCTTACAAGATCATGTGCTAGCAAGCTTGTGCAACCCGCCTTATTTTGTTGTTTTTGTTCTGTTTTGTTTTGCTTTAGGTTTTTAGCAGCTTGAAGCCGTGGTTTTTAGTTTCTGTTTCTAGTGATAAGCAGAAAAGAGCGATGGGGAAGGGACTTTACTGGCCCAATCAGAAACAGAAACTAAGAACCCATGACTGTATTCTCTTCCTTGGACATCCCCGAGTGTCCCAGGACTTAGTCCTGTAACCTTTTCTCTTTTATCCACTTTCATTCCCTAAATATTTTTATCTGTGCTTTAAATGCCTTCTATATGGAGATGACGTCCACGTTTTTATTTCAAGGCCTGATATCTCCCCTGAACTGCAGACCCCTATATCTGACATCTCCAACATGTCTGATGAGATTAGACAAATTTATCATGTCTGAAACAAAACAGTTTTCCTCTGGCCAACTCACTCCAGCTCCAGTCTATCATATCTCAGGATAGGACACTATTATTCAAAGAATCGCCTTTTATTTCTCTTTTCCTTTCATCTATACTTCCAATCCATCAGCAACTCAAGTTGGTCCTGTCTTAAAATCCTAAACCTGAACTGTTCTTAAGCCACCATTGCCAATATTCTGGTCAAATTTATATCTTTTCCAGACTGAAAGTCTCCTAGCTGGCTTTTCTTCTTCCACTCTTGTCCCGCTACAGTCTGTTTTCCACGTAATAATTTGTACGATATTTTTCAAACAAAGCATGGTCATACTCCTGCTGAAAACTCTCCAATGTCTTCCCATCAAACTGCAAACCTTTAGGGCCCTTTATGCTCTGGCCTCCATCTACTTCTCTGATCTCCTCCCCTACCAGTCTCCTCCTTGGTAATTTTGCTCCAATCTTAATGGATTTCTTACCAGTTCTCCATCAAACCAAGTCTGCACCCCCCTTTTGGAGTTTTTTCCTTGTGTTTCCAGCTACCTTGAGAATTTCTTTCCCCATGTTTTTAGATAGCTCCCTTCTTGTCTCTTTTCAAGTCTCTTAATTACCACCTTCTCTAAGTGGTCTTCTCTAGTCACTTTACCCATGAGTGGATTTGCTGGATAGCCATCCTAGCTCTTTGGAAAAATGAAGTCATTTTTAAGCATTAATTTAAAATATGTAGGAGTGTAAGTTGGAAAAGTAACATTGATAAAGGTAGATGTAACATGTTCACATTTCTTAGTGTATTTTGTTGGTAGAAGCTCAAAACATTGAAAGTGCAATTAGTACTATGTGTATTTGACACACACACACACATACACATACACACATATATATATTTCAAAACAATGAATTATATCTTTTTGGATGTGAACAGTCTTCTTAATAAACAGTCCAATTAAAATAAGCCAGATGTGTTTGTAATTGACTTTGAATGTTGCACTTTAGACCAATGTAAATTCACCATCATATTGCATTTTAATGACTGGCAAATAAAAAGCTAAGGTCAAGAGATGTTTTATTTTTCTTTTACTTTTGCAATGGCATGAAACACTCATGAAAGGGTAAATCTAATACATGAAATTATTAAGAAGACATGCTATTTCCCCCCACAAGCTTAATAAAATTAAAAATTTTAGTAAGTAGTATGCTTCTAAAAGGCTTTCAGCAGTTATACCAGCAAACTGAAGCCTAGTTGTCTATTTCAGAAACTTCAGAATTTCCAGATTTTTCAGATATGTGTAAGAGCTGAATAGAAATTAAAGCAACAGAAAATGGAAGAGAAAACAAATCGGTTAGAGCTACTCTATTATGAAGAGATTTTTAACCCCATATCAAAAAAATATTTGCCACCACTACTCTGGACATAATATTTTTCATTACTATGTCACAGAATACAAATCTTTGATTCACTTTGAAATGAAAGCCACAAATACAGAACTAAGTCCCATACCTTAAGGAGCAAAAAAGGTGAATATTTTGCCAAAATTCTTCTCGCCTCAATAAAGGATAAGAAGGTCATGCCTAATAAAACAGTAACTGTTGAAATTCAGGAATTTGCCAAGAACATCAGTTTGATGTATTTGTTTCAAAGAGAGGAATTCAACATCCTTATAAGAGAAAGGTTGTATGTGTTCCATCCCACAGCCATGATCTATGTACTATGCCCAAGAAGGACCCACAAAAGTGGAAGCTCAGCTTTGTGATGGCCCAATCTCTGTTTTCCTCCTCATACAGTATCGGTTCGCCTTGTTGCTTCTTAAAGTATTGTGCTCCTGTTTATTTAAAGGATTCTTACTTTCAGAGTGCTCTGGGGAGGGAGTGGTAAAGATGTGAAGTGAGCCTTGGCAGCTGCCTAAAACCAAAACCTTCATGCCTACCATCTTATAGTCAGTAATTCCTTGGTGACATCTAACACAAGCAAGAGAAGCGTGTGGTGTGTTTAAACAGAAATCTATCAAACTTTTTTTGTCCTTATATATATATCCTCTTAAAAAATTACAGAAATACTCCTTTTGAATGCACAAATTCAGATTATTGTTACTTAGCAACAGAGGTTGAATGCTTGTTACACATTGTGAAATTGTACTATATTCCCTCAAAAGGAGAAAAGTTTCTCATTTATCTAGCTTCTAAAAATTCTAAGATATTAAGTCATATTTGTTTTTAATGTATCTCCTGATTGTTCTGGGCGATTTGTGAAGGATTTTGAATTGTTAAAGCTAGCACATATGTTATATGTACACAAGTTATGAAGCATAATAGTAAAACAAACACCCATGAAGCCACCTCCAAACTGAATTACGTATCTCATCCTGCCAGATTCATCCTCCAAATACAACTATCCTCAGTTCAGTTTTTATTGCATTGTTTACTTACCTTAAAAAGAAATGGGTTTTTGCCTACTTATATGTCTCAAAATAATATACCGCTGAGTTCTGCTTATATTTTGTGCCTATGATAAAAGAGTTATGAGACTATCTGTAGTCTGGTCACTTCCTTCTTAAACTCAGTTTTCTTACAAATGCCCACTAATTTATATTCTTCTGAAATATTTTATATTGGCAATATATGTTATATTAAGGTTTATTATAAAGCTGTAGTAATTAAAATAGCATTACATTTGTGTAGAGATAGGTGAATTGTTCAAGGGAACAGGATGGAGAGCCTAAAGACAGGTTCCTGCATATATGGAAAGCTGATTTATAATTGGAGGTAGCATTGCCAACTACATATTCTTTGGCTCATACAATTTCCACAAGCTATACTAGCACGTGTATACAGAGGTCTGTGTTGAAGGATGTTCATTACAGCCTTAATTATAATAGCCAAATATTATGAACAATCTTAATGTCTGTGAATATAATGCTTTAGAATATTAAAATATCTGTTACATATATTATAACTATAAAATGAAAACTATGCAACGGTTTAAAAGGAAAAAAAAACAAGAGACACTGATCCTCTATAACACTGCAGTTGGGACTGATAACTTAGTATACTCTCTGGGAAGAAATTTGGCAATATGTATCACAATTTACAATATGCAGATGTGACAGATTTCAGTACCTTGAACATCTTTTGAAGGGTGTGCACTCAGGTTGTAAATTTTATTGCTTGAAAAACAACAAAAAAGTTAGAATAAACTTACATGTCTGTCAATGGGAAAGTAGCTAAATAAATTATGAAATACAGTTAAGCAATTTTTTAAAATGAGATAGGGAAAACTTCCAGTAATGGCAATGAAATAAAGTGATTGTGTGGACCCTCTCAAACTTAAGAATTATAAGGATTATAAGATGTGGACCACATATTTTTAAAAACCCATCTTTAAATGCTTAAAAACATCCAAAAGTAGACAGAAATCACTGGAGAATGGACTGGAACTGAGTATTGGTATATTCTTCTGTACTGTTTAATTTAGACCAAGTGCAAAATAGTTTTAGAAGCTGAAAATACTTAGATTTCAATCTGTTTTACATATATTAAAATGAAACTTTTAAAACTATGACTTTAATCTCCCATGTATCTTTTAGATTAGGTTAGCATGCTTTGGTTCTTAGCATTAAAAGTACATCTGTCATTTTCCAGTAGATTGCCTTGTTTGATTGGGGTTATGTATCTTGATTCACTCAATCTCAGCAAATATTTATTGCTTGTCTAACATGTGCCAGACCCCCTCTAGATGCTAGGGATAAAGTAGTTAGCAAGACAGACAAGATTTCTGCGTACCTGGGTCTTACATTCTAAGATCTCTTTTGTTTAATAGTCTTATAAGCATAAGGTATGTATTCACCTGAAGGTATCATCCAGTAGAGGAAGAAGGAAAAAAAACTGTGAGGAAAAATGATAAGCAGAAATCTTACTTCTGTATATATAATAGAATCTCCGAATATTGGAATTGAAGGGATTCAGTATAGTTCAATGATTTTACAGGAGCATTTTGCTAAATATAGTGATTCTGTTTGTTTAATTCTTAGAATATTTCAATATTTTAGTCATCCAATTTTTCAGCCATTTTGAGTATAGTAGATTATGGAAGTATACTTTAATGAGAATTATTGTTCAGGTTTGCCTTTGTGGGGGATGCAGGGGCTTGTGAGAAGAATGACAACTTTTACATAAGTATGACAAGTATATTATGAAATGGAATTTATTTGTCTTTTAATTCCTCCATTGTTCTGTAACCTATAGGGAATGTGTTTGCCTAGTTTTGTTATTTTTACCCTATGGGCAAATTTTTTAGGGCCAAAAAGTTTGAAGCTTTTCTTCTTATATTCAATAATGTTTACCATCCAGAGAGTTCTTTATTATATATAATCCAAATGATTTCCCTTACTAACCCTCTTGTTTCGTTTACCATATGAGTTTGCTATTGAAATATTAAAACATCCTAATAAAACATCTCTACCTTAGCCAAGGGACAAGAACAAAAAAAGTTTCAACAGTATCAAATATTTTGTGTGTTGTTTTATTTTTTTAAAACAGAGTCTCACTCTGTCACCCAGGCTGGAGTGCAGTGGCGCAATCTTGGCTCACTGCAACCTCTGTCTCCTGGGTTCAATAAATTCTTTTGCCTCAACCTCCTAAGTAGCTGAGATTACAGGTGTGCACCACCATGCGCAGCTAATTTTTTATATATTTAGTAGAGATGGTGTTTCACCATGTTGGCCAGGCTGGTCGCAAACTCCTGACCTCAAATGATTCGCCCACCTCAGCCTCCCAAAGTGCTGGGATTACAGGTGTGAACCTCTGCACCTGGCCTCAAATGTTTTTTAAAGCATACTTTTCC
Organism: Homo sapiens; assembly: GCF_000001405.40. Taxonomy (NCBI): domain Eukaryota; kingdom Metazoa; phylum Chordata; class Mammalia; order Primates; family Hominidae; genus Homo; species Homo sapiens. Next base: position 28,548,599 of record NC_000012.12, read on the forward strand.
CCAAAACTTTCTCTAATTTCAGCAAATTGTTTATCTCCTCCCTTATAATTTGTTCCACTAAACCCTGTGTATGATGTGATTATGCTGTGTTTCTGTGCTATGTACTTATTTTGTTACTTGTATCTGTAATATATTTGTGGATGTTTGGTTGCGTATATACACTAAGAACTGGCATTTTAATACTATTTTATGTTTTCTGAAATCATTCTGATCAAATGTATGATATTTCTCTAATAACTGAGTAACAACATCAGTTATAAAACTATAATGATTATCATCTCATCTTAGATGATTTAGGCCAGAAAGAGTGACTTTACTGTCATTCAGTTGAAAGTACTATTTGATTTCCTAAATTGTCTCATCTGGAAAGTTTTTTCTAGTGGGCTTCAGAGACATAATATTCTTTATCCTTCAACTCAGTATTTTTTTTTCTCTTTCTCTCTCTCTTTAAAAAAATTAAACAGCTCGATCAAGTCATCCGCCAAAGAAGCCTGTCCAGTTTGGAACTGTTCCTCTCCTGTGCACAGAAACAGTTAAGTGCTTTAATAGCTACGGAACCAGTTGACATTGAATAAAAAGAACATGACAAACCCACACTGGCATTGGATAAATCATATTACACCTTCAAAATACACACTCTGAATTATAAAGATGTGTTTGTTTTCTTTCCAAATCATGTAGAATTGATTTCCAGTTCAAGGATAAACCAAAACAATATTTAGAACTATCAAGTGATCTAATTTATTTTCTTTTGGTTTCTTCTTTACATTTACTGTTATTTTATTATTATTAGTAGTAGCAGCAACAGAGTATGATATGACCCAAAAGCCATTGTAAAGTGCCACATTACCAAAATTAATTAAGTAAACTTTATAGCCTGTGGGAGTCTATTATATATTATTTTGCAAAAGTAGTAAATATATTATTGTTTCATGATGACTCTTGATGAGATGCTAGAATGTAACCATACATTTATCTTATTTTGAGGATAGAAATAGCATGGATTTCAACATCACTTATTTATCTGTATAATTGGAAATAAAACACCGATATGATAGAGAATCATTCCGGCATTACCTAACCTCTTCTGCAGTTGGATCTATGTATTTTCATTGGTCTACTGAAAACAAACAATACAATTAAAAGCACTAAAGATTATTATATTAATTCAACTTTGATCTGATATATCACTTAAACTAAAGGGGTGTGTGTGGTGTATGCTTGTTTCCTATTTCTGCTCTTTAAAGATACTTTGAATCAATAAAACCATTAGTCTACAAATCAAATTGTGAACTTAATCTCTAGAAAGAGAATATAACTCAGCCATTTATAGGAATTTAGGTTCAAGTACAGGATATATGAAATCTTTTCCCAGTATTTCAGAATGTACTTAATTCACAGGCAGGATGCTTCAATGCAAAATCATGAATATTTTTAATTCAAAACTAAAATGTCATTAATATGTATGTATGCAAATGTTTTATCTTATTTTCTGAAATGCATCTACTTTCATGGGCTTTGTACGTTTCTGAGATTTCTCAGTGTAATAAAAAGAGCTCCCAAACTTATTTGGTTGTTACTTTTTGTTTTTTTTTAAATTTCTTTAAAAAATATATTTTATTTTTTTTTAGAATTTTTCTTTCTCAAGTTGAAATTTTCTATCCTAAGTCGTTTTATCACTCGAATATTTTAAGAACAAGACTAGCCTTCCTTATAGACCTGCTTGGCCTTCTAGCCCTGCTAAATTTTAATTGTAGATCCTTAGACAAGCTGCCTAACTAGTTAGTTAGACAAGCTGCCTAACTAATTTGAGTCTCAGTTTTCTCATTTGTGAGGTAGAAAGAGTGATTTTTATAGGCTATTAAAAAAATAAATCTTGTAAAGTACCCCATATAGTGCTTGCTGGTATAGCCTCCAGTTTATAATAATTTCCCTTTCTCTGGAAATTAATCACAAAATACAGGTGTGAGTACCTACAAACAAGTGGCTAAAGCATAGCATTCTGCCCCTCTAACCTTGACTGACTGACCCACAGGTGAAGACCTGACCCCAAGTGGGCCTCTTATGAAAAGTCTTATGGTGACATCACTTCAGCTTCCTTACCATAGGGAGACAGACATGAACCCCTATTTCTGAGGTTAGAGGTGACCCCAACCCTTTTTTTCCTGAGTCTCAGATTCTGTGAGATACCTGAATATTCTTCCAATATGTTATATTGAATATTCCAATATTCTTCCACTTAACTTTTTTCCCTTAAGCTAGCCAGAGCCAGTTTCTATTATGTGCAACCAAAAAACATTACCCAAAGCAGTCAAGCACAGATCCCAGCAAGTAATCCCTGGATACTTGGCACTTGTTGGCTTCTCATTTCCTCTACCGTACCAATCCGCATCCAAAATGGGAACACTCTTTGATTTATTTTAAGGAATGTTAAAAATATAACTGAACCAAAGCCTCTATTGTCTAACAAAGCCAAGTAAATCACAGATACCCAAAACTATGAACAAACAGTGCCCTATTTAAAAGCTTTCTGTCACTCAGAATCTAGAGTAGAGGTTTAAACTCAGCTTTGCTGAATGCTGACTCACGTTCCATTTCAAAGGAGGCTTACTCAGTGATTGCTTTGAAATCAAAACCAGAACAATGTCCCTATGATTGGTGTTATTCTTCAGTGAGTCAGTTATCTATTATTATAACTTCTTTTTTTTTATCTGACAATTAAACTGAACGGAATCAGGAAATGTTCTCTATATTTAAAAGAGTAATACATCTGAATAATAAAAAATGTATATATAAACCTGGAAAATATTTATAAAACTCCCAAAGAAAAGGAGACTTTGATCAAAGCACTCTGCCTCTAGTCTTCTGTTTACATACTAGTAAACAGCTCTGCCATATCTCCAAAGACTCTGCTAACAAAAAGCAGAAAGCCAATGTGTTCTGAATCCACAGGCTCCTTACTTGTAGGCATCACCATCAGCATCACAGTAAGTGGATGTTATCACTATATATGAGAGCCCACAGTTGTGACTGCTGGGCTCTTTTTTTAAGCCAGGCAAAACTAAAACTGTTCTCTGAATTTAACTGATAAACACATTTTTAGCCCACCCAGTCCCCCATAATCCACAGGCTACTTGCTCACCAATCATTGGTATATATAAGTAGAAGGGAAAGAGCAGGTAGAATTTTCTTTGATCTGGTTTTGTTTTCTTACCCCACCTTACCAAGCATTCATTCTCAACAAGTTGCTCCCCCTTAAATTGTCCCCATTCCTGGGGTCACTATATATTGAACTTTTCCTATGGAGTACTTATATAATTAAATAATGTTTTAATTGTTATTTATAATTAATAATTTGTGTTTTTATTTATGTCTGCCTCCTCCTAAGCAGAGAGACCACATCTGTTTTGTTTGTTATATCAATGCATTTCATAGTGCCTAGCCTGTAGTGAGGACTTAGTGTATAATTGAGTTAATAAATAATTGAATCAATCAATAAAACAATTATTGCACCTGCAATGTAATTAACCAACTAATTCCCAGCTAATAGATTCTGACTACCGCTTTAAAGGATTTAGCTAAAGTTGCTGTGTTTCTGAATGAGATCCTGTAAGAAAATTAACGCTCATAAAACAGTAAAACCTACTTTCTATATAAATCAGTAAAATTTCTGAAAACTCTAAAATGAACTCTGCATTTCCAATGATACTCAAATGACTAAATCACATTGATTGAAATGTGCTACCCAAATTTAGAAGATCCTCTAAATATAAGTAGGGAAGAACATATGGGAAATTATATGTGAAATCATTTCATATGGTGCTGAGTTGGGCCTAGCTACAAGAGTAAACAGCGTCTGCTTGAGAGGGCCATAGAACAGCATTAAACCTACTGGTCCGTCAGTTTGGAGTTGGAACACATAGGGAGCAACAACATTTAGAGGACAGACTGAGTGCATAAAGTTTTGTGATCAAGAGTAGAAGATTCAGAGGGCCCAGTGGAAGTTATGTGTAAAGAGAGGAGAGGTGCTTAAGATTGGGTCAGATCAGGGAATGTCCAGAGCAGTGTATGAGTCCTGGTGATAACGATGCCAAGAATATCTGACAGTATTTTTCAATTCATTTCTGACTCTGAATTGTGATACAGATTGGCCTTGTTGTGAGAAATACACAGAAATCAAGAAACAAACTTATTCAAAAGGTAGGAAAATTTGACTCAGTCCTGGCAAACATTCGGTTCTCAGAAGTCTGGTAGCTGATTTAAAAAGAAAAAAAAAATGAAGCCACAGAATGTACAAATTGCTGACTTCAACACAGCTCAGATACTGAAAATAGATAGTAGAAGATTTCTTGTGACAAGATATATATGTAATGAATTTTGAGTTTTGTCCCTTTTATTGAGGTACTTTTTTCTGAAATTGTTACAACCACTAAACAGCACTACATTTTTTGAAACATTTTTCCTATAGTATTTTTTGGTTTTTTGCCTGATTAGCTGCCAAATGTAAATGTTTAATTCAACTCTACAAAAATGTTTAACACTTAGTGATTCAATTAGTAAGTTTATACCTATGGTCTCAGTGAGCTATTCTTTAAAATTCATTATATGTTATAATTTTATAGGCAAACTAATATGTTTTTATGATTCTTGGCTTTTTATAGATAAAAATAAGCAACAATACATGTTTTTCTTATAATTTTCTCTTTTTTTCTTATAAAGCAGGAAAAAACTTCTATATTCTGTGTCAGTTGGTTGCAGTTATAGAAAATGCAGTAAACTAGGTAGAAATATCAAATAAGATTTTTATAAAACTGGTCTGTATGGTTCCAAGCAATCCAGATAAATAACCAGCTACGGTCATTGAAGAGTAAGATGTATTCACTTCTATGTGAATGAATTCAAAGTGCAACAGTGATTCTACTTAATATAAATCCTTTGATATACTGGCATTTCCGCACAGGAAGAATACTTGTGTTCAGAAATATGTGTTTTATGCCTATTCCTTAGAATTTTAGATGCATATTCTCAATTATACATATTAAATAGTCCACAGAGAAACCTAAACTTCTGTAAAACTCATAACGCAGTGTTATTTAGACCCTAACCTCAAATGTAACAAGGATGGTACCCTCATTATTTTTTTATTCCCTCTTTCTATGTGATTCCATGGCTTTAAATAATCTCCATGTGCTAAAGACCACCACATTTGTAGCTCCAGCCCATTTAAGTGCAGAGTCCTAGATTCAGCTGCCTACTTGATATTTCCACTTAGATGTGGTACTTAACATATCAAAAACAGTATTCTTCATCCTCACTCCACCTCTGCCACCCAAATTCTTTTCTCATGTGTGTCTTTTCTAATATTCCTCATCTCAGTGAATGTCAGCATCATCCCTCCCTGCTTCCCCTCCCCATTCCCTACACCAAACTCAGTCCTGTCAGCTCTACTCAAAATATATCCTGAATCCATCTGTCTTTTTCCATTCATTCTGACCACTACCTACCAAACCAGTCTTTATGATCTCTAGCCTAGACTTTTGAAATGGCCTTCTAAAAGAGTACTTGCTTCCATTCTTGCCCCCAAGTATTCTGTATTATAGCCAATGATCTCCTAAAACCTAAATTTATTGAATCATTGTAAATGTAATGTCTTTATGGTAAAATGTATTCATTGTCTCATTCTGATTCCAGGAACATATACAATATAGTAGGAATAGATGTAAGCCATTTGTTGTGATGTATGTCACTGAGGCAGGGATGCTAACAGAATCAAGTCTGCAGATGATAAAAGTTCAACTGAGTTGAAGAAAGGGAGAAAGTAAATGAATAGTTAAGAGACATGCAAACCTCCATTGATATGTATGTAACCTCTTGGGAGTCAGCTGGCTTCTTTTTCTTCCCCTTTTCTTCTGTATGACTTAAAGTTTGACCTGCCTGCTTCTTTCTACTCTACTGTTAGTTACTCTCAAACTAAAGTTTCTCTCCTTGAAAGTTTACTTGGGAACAGAATTCAGTGTTATAAATATCCACACTCTCGTTCAGTTTTGATTAAGAGTTCCATTTGTGATGGTGAGAAATCTGGGAGTAAAAAAAGGACTCCTTCCTGTTGTCTTTTCCTCTCTGGCCCCTTTACCTTTTGGTGAATCTTTTCATACAGAATTGCATATACTGCAAAAGAATATGCAGCTTCAGGCTATTCTTGACATTCTCTGACTGAGTTGGAGTGTCGAGCAAATAGGAGCTTGGTACAGGGTAGTTAAGGAAAAGCCCAGCAGGGCATGAAGGCCCAACAACATGTAACTAGCCTCACTGGCCATGAAAAGTTTACTCTTGTCTCTTCTTCTCCCTGCTGTGTGACATCACCAATTCTGTCATCATGGCAAACACTGACCAAGAAATACCAGATAGGAAGCTTAAGTAAAATGGGAATGGGGTCAAGAGGGAGGGAAAATTGCAAAATCCAATAAATCTTAAATAAGAGCAGCAGGAAAGGAAAGGGCCATTTTATTGCCTAAAACCACCTGGCTTTTAGGTAACAGTTCCAACATGTCCTTTTTTGAATAGCTGTTCTAATTATTATATATTCAGCTGATTAATAGGAGTACTTGATAGGTGGACTGTGTCAGGTAGCCTCAGGCAATCCTACTTCAACAAGCTGTCAGGGAGCCATGCCATGCTTCTTTATGACATAGGTGAATTTGATAGGCTCACTAGCAGAACATGGGATCACAAGGCTGGAACCATTCCATTTCCATGAAATAATTTAAGTAAGCCAATACAAGGGGAAGGGGTGGGAATAAAGGTCTGAGATGGTCTTTAGTTTTACATTTTGTGCTAGAGGTATTTTTACATACTTTTAAAGAATAGAGGGTGCCTGTATCTTAGTACACTTAATAAGAAAGAAAAATTATACTGTAATTGGGTATCGTCGTTGTCAATCATTTGGCAATGTTACCTGATAAAAGTTTCTGAGATGATGGAAACTCTCTCTATATGCACGGCCCAGCTTGCTTGCTCCTAGCTACATGTGGTTACTGAACACTTGAAATGTGGCTAGTGTGACAGAGGACACTAATTAATTTTATTTTATTTAAATTTTATAGTTACATGTGACTAGTGGCTACTCTTGGAAAATGCAAATATAGAGATTCCCTTGCCAGAGGGGAAGCAGTAACCAAGTTATTTCTCCTAATCACACAAACACAGTTACGTTTGTTTCCTTCCTTTCTTTTTAAGATTGGTGTGTAGAGTAGGCATGTCATGAGTACAAATGCATGTGAAACACTTCAAGAAAAAAAGAAAGCTGAGAACCCAGTGCTGTTGATATATTATTTAATTGCATAATGCGTACAGATTAAAGGAGACCTTACTGGAAAACTTTCTAGTGTATGATTCTTAGAGCTGGGAACACTTCTAGTTTAGTGCCACCAAGAAAGGATTTCTCTGATCTTCGGCCAAAATTATCCTAAAAATAGAAACTCGTCTATTTAAATTTGAATTTCTGCCTTGGTTTGTTTTTGAGAGTTGCCTGGAGAATCATTATGACCATAGTTTTAAAGATTAAGCAGAAAATGAGTAACTGCATATAAAGATTCAGACTTCCAAAATGGACTTTGGGGAATGCAAAATAATGTCTAATTATTATGCCTTTGAAATTATTTTACTTACACCACCGCCCCCCCCCCCCGCCCCAGTAATTGAATTTGTTGAGAAGTAGCTTTTCGTTTTAAAAAATTACTGAGCTTGAATTATACCATGTATTGTGCTAGTCATATTACAACTAGTGAGTGCCTTTAACAGTTCTGTGAGGTAGATACCTCCTATTAAAGAAGAGGAAAGCAATGCTTACAGAGGCTAATTAACTTACCAATGATCACTGCCGGTTCCATACCAGGTCGGCCTGATGCCCACGCTTTTCACAAGGGCAGGTATTGCCTTTTGCAAGTAATATTCACCTACTTTTTTAAATTTAGCCACGCATTCTGTTTGGATTCACTTTTGTAATATATCTCCCACCAAAGGATGCTAATGATCTTTCTCAGCACAAGCTCCAGGCACAGCTTTTTGACAACCAGATTATGCTGAGTGGTATATCACCAAAGCTGCACTAAGCCCTCTGGCTTGTGAGGCATCAGACCAGTTTGTATGCTGGTGGGACAAAACTGTGGGAAAATCATTTCCCTTCTATGCCAAATTTCATTTAATTGCTATTGTTTACCTAGTGGGAAAAGACTTATGTTCCACAGCTCAAGAAAATCAATCCTACTTCAATACAGTGACTTAACCTGGAGTTACATTAGCTTAATGAAAAAAAGGCCTGGCTGAAATATAAAATCAAGAAATCAACTATAATTTAGCTAATATAATGTAACAATAAAAATTCTTCCAGAAGATTAATCTTCCCCAAAGCTCTAATCAATTCTTAAAATCATCAGTCCAAATCAGTAAGTCAGTGGCATAATAAGCATTATAATCTTAACATTTTCAAAGAAGAAAATTGAAAGAGTGAATAAAGTAATTTCATTCTGTCCTAAATTTTATTCAAAGAAAGAACATAACACAAAACCTGAAACTACCAGCTTCTTTCCTCAAATTTTACCTATTCATTGAAACTGATACAGCTCATCCATGATATCAGCATGGGAAACCACATCACATATTATTTGGAAATACATAAATGAGTATTGTTCCCATTGCAAAACTTAGAGATTTGCGTTCCTCCCTTTCATAACTTACCATAGTTCATCCAGCATGGAGCCAGCCTCCCTGGTTCAAGTCTCAAGGCTGTCATTTACCAGCTTAACATATAAGATCTCCAGTGCCTCAGTTTCCTCAGTTTTAGAAAGACGACAATAGAATGTACTTCATAAGATTGTTTGAGTGCTAATACATAAAAAGCAATTAAAACCGTGTCTGGCCCGTAGTTAAGAGTTTATGTCCTGTATTCATAAAGAAACAGTGGCTGTTTACATCATCCTTACTTTTAAATTTGTCACTATTTTTGTTAATATTTTTAGGATTGATGATATATTATTTTTTGGCTTTTAAAAATATGTTTGGGCTGAGTGCAGTGGCTCACGCCTGTAATCCCAACACTTTGGGAGGCCGAGGCCAGTAGACCACGAGGTGAAGAGATCGAGACCATCCTGGCCAACATGGTGAAACCCCGGCTCTACTAAAAATACAAAACTTAGCTGGGCGTGGTGGTGGGCACCTGTAATCCCAGCTACTTGAATCCGGCAGGCGGAGGGTGCAGTGAGCCGAGATTGCACCTCTGCATTCCAGCCTGGCAACAGAGCGAGAATCCATCTCAAAAAATATATATATGTTTGTTATACTGATTCATTTGTTCTGATTGACAGTTTTCTGTTAAACTGTGTCTTACTTTATTTGAAGAATGTTTATGATCTATCATCTTCCAGCGAGATGTTCTGTTAGCTTCTAAGTAAGAAGCTTAGAATTCTGCAAAACATTTTCAGAGAGGGTGCATAAAAATAATGCTTTATTGCATGACTTTTTTTTTTTTTTTTTTTTTTTTGGTGGCAGCAAATATGTTGAGAATTCTAAGATGCTCTTTCCTTCAGTGGTTATCTAAAAAGTGTTAAACTGTGAGCATCTGCCTGGCATGCAAACTTCATGTTTTACTGTTGTGATTATCCCAGGCAGCAGATCACAGGTATGTTTACCTTCAACAGACTTAGTCCCTTAATTTCTTCCCTGTCCTCCTTTTCCTTCTTCCCCAGTCTGCTGAATTCCTGTCTGCTATGAAGAGTGGTGACAAATACTAATCTGAACTAGACCACAGTCATATAAAGTCAGATTGAGGACTTGGCCTTGTATCAAACCTGAAGTGGAGGGGAAGGGTGGAAACTGCTGTCTTGTAAATAGCCACCCAGGGCGTAAGCCCTGAAAACATGTAAATATCACTATGTCCCATATGCATTATTTCTCAATTTTGTCATGCTACCTTTGCCAGCTAGTTTAACTGAGTATGATTTACAGTTATTTTATTGAACATTTTTTGACAATTTGAGTACAGTTCTGGATGTAATATTAAATCCTCTTCTGGCTCAGCAGATTGCAAAATTGCACGTTCTGTCTACACATCAAATCCTAGGTCTGGAGGGGAATTGCAGACTTTACCTAGTCCAGTACATCCAGAAAATACTGCGTTTGAGCTTTTCCATAGCAGATGGTATTTCACCCTATCCTAAATGACATCCAAACAAGAAGATTGATGATATGATTAAAGACTGTGAAGAAAGGTTAAAATTAAGCTTGGCTTCTGTTTCTTTTAAATTCATAAAATTTTTTCTTCTTCAAGGATCTCTAGCCAATTCCAATGGCTGAGCCAATAAGTTTAATCATACCTTTATGACTGAAGAGGAAACTAAATATGGTAAATAAATGTTAACAATTTAGTTCTAAATTGTTTGTGTCAACTTTATATATCAGGTTTGAGATTGATCAGTTTTTTAATCTATCTGGAATCTGGTGTTGAAAAGTCCCAGAAATAAAAGCTATTCTAAAGAAGTTTCAGAAAATCAACTCAATTCTTGTAACCTTCATACCCGAAGACTGAGTAATTTATAAAGAAAAAGGTTTAGTAGACTCACAGTTCCACACGCCTGGGGAGGCCTCACAATGATGGCAGAAGACAAAGGAAGAGCAACGGGACTTCTCACATGGCAGTGGGCAGTAGAGTGTGTGCAGGGGAACTCCCCTTTATAAACCCATCAGATCTCAAGAGATTTATTTATTCACTATCGCAAGAACAGCACAGGAAAGACTTCCCACAGGGTCCCTCCCACAACATGTGGGAATTATGGGAGCTACAATTCAAGATGAGATTTGAGTGGGGACACAACCAAACCATATCACTCTTTTATAGATATTTTGCTATGACCAGAAACCAAAGCTTTGCCTACATGAGTTTACATTATAATTACATTACATTATAATATTTTTCTAAGAATTCCAAGAAAAAAGTGTAAATGGTCCAAGGAAGGAAAATTTGCTTTTTGTCAAACTCCCATTTGTTGAATATGATATATTTAGCAATAAAATGAATATTTGGCTCAGAACAATACATTCTAATCAGCTTTCCATTGAACATGCCATCATCACAGTTTCTGTAATTATTTAGAATTCTTTATTGAGCTATAATTGACAAAGGAAAGATAGATTGCATTAAAATACTAGATACATGGCATTTAAAAGTTGTTTTAAAATAAGTTCCCCTTGATTTTAACGTAAGCTTTGGTTAGGTTAAATAAAATGTTTTCAAACTCAGAGTTCCCCTCTGTAATCAGCATCTAAGATCTGATGTTACTTATTATTACTAAGGAGTTTCTTCAACAATTCATTTTTTATGATTTCTCCACCTTAAAGGCTTATGATACTGTTATGAATTTCATAACATTATGAGATCTCTGCTTCTGGGACAGAAGGATAGATTGATCCTATTTCCCTACTCCATGGCAGGTAGGTGGAGCAATGCCACGAGCACTGTGGGGCTGCAGGCAGAGTGATGTGTATCATGCCAAGCCAAACCATTTATTTACTGCTGCCAGACCCTCCAACCCAGAGCTCTCCCTCTGGGTGACAGTGGAAGAGGCCTTTTGTTGAGATTGTGGAGACACAAGATCAAAACAGCATCACTGAGTTACCACATGAAGTACAGTTACCTTAGAGGGTCTCCTATATCTACAAATGGTTATAATTGAAAAATCAACCCTTTTTGGGGTAAGTCACCGAGAACTGGGAGTTTTCTATTATTATAGCATAACCTGATCTGTCTTATAACTACAAAAGATAAAGCAAACCTCAGGAGAACATCTGGCCTCTTTACATTACCATTCCTTCAGAATCTCTAGAGACCCACCTAAATCTTGTTGTTCCAAAGATCACATCAACCTCAACAACAATGATTATTTTTTCAATCTAATGTTTATATGCACTACACAAGATCACCTGGGATGCAAAGATGATCAGGATACAATCCTTTGCCTTGGGGTTAATATAAAAGTATTTTCCAAGGTTATGTTGAATCATTTTCTGTTGGGAAATTTTACTGAAAACTTTTTCCCTTTTTTAAAAATTTCTTAATTTGAAAATGGTGTGCACACGTATACACACACATACATTAAGAGTGTATGTTATATTGTTATACATTCAGTCTGTATGAATGTTATAAACATACGTGAGTATATACATTTGAAGGGGTAGGGGAGAGAGAAAGATACAAGGTGCTACATACCTCAGTTTGTCTTTTGATAAATTCCAAAATCCAGACATAATAAATTTATAATCAGTGTAATTGTAACCTACCTACAACATCTTGCACAGAATAAAATATCGTTTCCAGATAATAGGGAAATCACATAACTCATTTCCAGCCAGTTTGTAACTGGTATTTTTTTTCTTTTTTTCAGAGTTGTTTGAAAGAAATTGGTGCAAGAAAAAATAGTTTTGCTATTACGTTATATTTACACTTAGTAGCAGTGTTTTTTGCTAAATCAAATGCACGTCTTATTGAATTAAAGCCAAATAACTGCTTTTCAGCCACACCTTACTTAGCACCTTAGCTTGCCTCTGGCCTGGGTATGCTACTGAGTGTTGACAAGCCCGTCCTTCATACTTCAGATAAATGAAAACACTAATTTATGGAAAAGGCATGTGTGACATCTGGGCTTAGCTTTTCTTCATTTAGTTTGATAATCCAGTTTTTAAAATTGTCAGTAATAAAAGGGTCATTATTAATGTTTCTATTCTATTTTTCATGCTAAAGGTTTTGTTGTTTTTAACCTGTATTATCTCATTCATCCCTACACACCTCCTTCAGTGGCTAATGGTGTTATTATGGTATGTATTAGGAAAGTAAGACTAATTAACTTCCCTGAGGCACACAGATATCGAGTGAACAAACTACCATCCCAACTCAAGTCCTTGCTTCCATCACATTTTTTAGTATCACAGTTTTTAATATAAAAAAATCATTTGGCTGGGCACGGTGGCTCACGCCTGTAATCCCAGCACTTTAGGAGGCCGAGGTGGGTGGATCACGTGAGGTCAGGAGTTCGAGACCAGCCTGACTAACATGGTGAAACCCCGTTTCTACTAAAAATACAAAATATTAGCTGAGTGTGGTGGCGTGCGCCTGTAATCCCAGCTATTCAGGAGGCTAAGGCAGGAGAATCACTTGAACCCGGGAGGGAGGTGAAGGTTGCAGTGAGCCAAGATCGCACCATTGCACTCTGGCTTGGGCACAAGAGTGAAACTCTGTCTAAAGAAAAAAAAAAAAATCATTTTACTAATATTCCCCTCTCTAAAGTACTTCTTTTTAAACACAACATTTCAAAACTCCAGATTCCCTTTGGAATTGCTAAATAACCTCTAACAGAGTTTCTGGAAGTGTAGACTATGGATTACCTGCATCAGAATTACTTGCTTGGGTGATTATTAAACATGCAGATTCCTGGTTCTCTGCCTAAACTTTTCGAATCAGAATCTCCTAAAGAAGCTTCAGAAATTTTTATTTTAATTTATTTTCCAGATGATTCTAAACACATAAACATTATTCCCAGACAACTAAAGAAATATCTCTAAGTCACCACAGATGTGACTGACTTCATTGAAAGTGTACTTCAACAAGTCCCTTTAAGTTTGACCACTTCATGTATGTCAAGAATCTGAACAGTGAATTAACTTTAGCTAATAGTAGGAGCCAAGAAGGTGCAATGGTAACTGAAGAGAAAAGGGTAATAAGAAAATTTTTTCTTAGTTTGAAGTGTAATTTGAAGAGACACTCAACATAAATATACTAGTGGATTAATTTTAAAATATGATGTTGAAGAAGTAGAGAGTAGAATGGTGGTTACCAGAGGCTGGGAAGAGGAGTGGATGAGGAAGATGTTGATCAAAAGGTATAAAATTTCAATTAGAGAGGAGGCATAAGCTTTAGTGATCTATTGCACAGAATAGTGACTGTGATAAATAATAGGCACTGTATATTTCAAAATTACTAAAGGAGTAGGATTTAATGTTTTCATTACAAAAAATGATAAGTATGTGAAATGATGGATTCAGTAATTAGCTTGATTTAGTCATTCCACAACGTAAGCATGTATGAAAATATAGCATTGAACCCCATATATAGTTCTGATCAATTAAAAATAAGATTAAAAACAGGATGACTACAGTCAATAATAATTTATTGTATATTTTAAAATAACTAAAAGAGTGGAATTAGAATGTTCCTACCACAAATGATAAATGCTTGAGGTGATGCATACCCCAATTACCCGGATGTGATTGTTACACATGGTGTGTCTATATCAAAACATCACATGTAACCCACAAATATACACATCTATTCTGTACCCATAATAATTAAAAATACAAAACTTAAAAATAAAAATATATATGTAAAAAAGTAAAAAAATCAAAAACTAAAAAATTAAAAACTATTTAAAACTAAAGATGAGAAAAAATATGATTTTATAGGAAAAGTTATCCAAATAAAATGTCTATAGTTTAAAAATAAATAAAATACAATATTCAATGCTGGCTTTAGGAAACATAAAAAACAAAATTTGTGAACTAGGAAGCCTATGATAAGGAATAATTTGAATATAAAAAGGAAAATGAAGCAGGTTCCTGGTGGAGAAGTGAGGTGGGGGTTGTCTGTCACCGTGCAGAGATAAGGAAAGAGGCGTGGAAGGGAATAGCCTTTGAAAACAAAATAGCCTTTGCACACATTCTTTTAACCCAAGGTTAAGTAATAATATCCTGTTTTCCAGTTTAAAATTTGAGTCACAGAGAAGTTCCATGAATTGCCAAAGGTCAGTCAGTTAGTCAATGGCAGAACTAACCATATTCCAGTGACTCCAAATCGGCTGCTCTTTCCACCTAATTATATTGCATTTTCTTTTGTTTTAAGCCTTCCAACTAGTTTTCAGCCCATCTGAGGATTTCATATCTGCCCAAGTCAATTTGGATTAATGTAGCAAGGCCTTGGGAAACCACATTCATATTTTTGTGCCTTTCTTAGTATGTTGTTTTCCTTCAGAATAATTACAAACTTCTGTGTTTTAATTACAATGACTTTTAGGATGCTGCAGATTTCTTCCAATCAGTTGGCTTTTGTATTTTCTTCCTGTACCTTTTCAGCACAAGACTTCTAAACTGTCTTATACCTGAGTGGGAGTGTTCCTTAGGCAGAAACCCTAACGGATAGAGCCTGTTTCCATGGCGCGATGGAGGATCACTGAAGTAGGCTCTACTGAATATTAGGTGTAAATGCTTTCAGGTAGCCCTTCTTGGTTGACTTAAACTATAAAGCAGTATTTCTTTCAAGCCATTTGGAGGCAATTTACAGGCAAAAAAACAATGTGGTCTACATAAAAGCCATAACTCTGATTTCCATGTGTCATGTGCATGTTGCACAACTCCACAGATTATTCATAGAAACAAATTAGGAAAAGGAAGCAACTCCGCAATATGTTTTGATGAAAGAATCACTGAGCATCTCTTACTTGGCTGATGGTTAGTATCTATGTTTGTTTATAAAACCTATGCCAATGTAATGAAATGGCTCCTATGATGTTCAAGGAAATAGATGATTGTATTATTACGATAGTTGTGGCTTTTCCATAAATAACTTAAAGGCCAGATTTCTCTCCCCATTAAGAATCACTTCCTTATGCAATTTAGTTCATATTTGTTTCTGAGGCATCACTATTACCACTCATCTGAGATACATAGATTCCCCCTCTCTTCCTTGGTGTGGTTCTGCCACATCTTCAAAGGCTTCTGTGGAGCCGGAGATGGTCAAGGAGGTGGTGACTGAGCATGGGATAAGCTTCACTATCATTGACAGTTCTGCCATTACGCTCTTTACTGCCACCTCACAAGGTTATAAAGATGTAGCTGACTATTCTTGTTTTCTTTTTTTTTTTTTTTCCTGCTTCAGGTTTATTTGTACAAATAGCACAGGAAGACACCAGCCCCATGCAGACGGCAGCCCAGGGGGGTCGCACCAGTCCTTCTGTCCTCACGTTGACAGATGGAGATCTCTACTCTGAAGCCTTTGTAGGGCCCTGGGCACCTTTAGAAGCCTGAACTGGAACTGAAGCTGGAGTTGCAGCCTGGGCCTTGGTTTGATCCTTGGCCTTTGGCTTGCACAGCCTGAGCCCCTTGGCAATGCGGGCATGAGCACGCTTCCCAAGCTTGGGGTGGGCAGTGTAGGCAAGTTGATCGAGCTTGCAGCTGACACCCTTTGGGATCTTGGGCTTAACCTCAAGGGCTTTACAAGGGCCTTGATAGCCTCAGCACGTGCACTCATGGCCTTGGCATTGTTAGCCTGCATCTTCTTTAGGCCTTTCTTGTGCTTCTTGGCAAAGTGTATGCTCCTCAGGAACTTGGGGTCCACTCCCTTTAGAGATTAGTGATTGGGGTTCCTTTGTGATTGGAGTTTCTTGATGCCATTTCTGTGCCATTTTCAGGACTGGTTGTGTGTGGTGTGGTTCTTGGACTTGGCGATGTTTGCACCATAAGCCACAGCTCCCATAGCTGACTATTCTTATGCACGAGACAAAACCAAAGAGAATTATGATATATCGTGGGAAAAAAAGTTGACCATCCACTTAATATTTCTGTAATCAAAAAGAAAAATCTCCAAAGTTAAGGCTTCATAAGCAGAGTCCTGTCCACCCCAGTTCCTAACCTTGTTTCTTGTCCCCAGTTCTACTTTTCTTTCCAAGATATAATGCCCTTTTTTATTCCTCCACTCTTTGAAATCAACACCTACTTATTGGGAAATTTCACTCTTTATCCACAAAAGTTATCACCACAGGACACATCCTGTTAGCATTATTTTCGAAACTCTAAGCTTCTTCTTGGAACTATTAAGAATAAGAGGCCAGTATGGTGGCTCATACCTATAATCTCAGCACTTTGGGAGGCTGAAGAAGGAAGATCTCTTGAGCTCAGGAGTTTGAGACCATCCTGGGCAATATAGTGAGACCCTGGGTGTAGTGGTGCATGCCTGTGGTCCCAGTTACCTAGGAGGCTGAGGCGGGTGGATCACTTGAGCCCAGGAGTTTGAGGCTGCAGTGAGCTATGATGGCACAAATGCACTCCAGCCTGGCCAACATAGCAAAACACTGTCTCAAAAAAAAAAAAAAAAAAAAAGGAAGAAGAAAGTATCAAGTACTAAGTCATAAACCTTAGCCTGCTACCTTATAAACTAAGTTGCTCCCTTACCCTAAAAAATCTTGGGCATGGGTTTGAATTTATTCCCTGAATTGGCCTAATTAACCTCTTAGACAGATATCATCCTTCTTTCCAATCTCTATGAGATGAACAGGCCTCATTCATACTTAGGCAGTTCCTCTAGTCTCTGGAGAGGTGGGGGTGAATTATAGGTAGGTCATATTTATGCAGCCATAAGGAAAGAAAGGATTTAGTCCAGTGAACAGATTACAAAGTGTTGGTGTATTAATCCTGTATTAGTCTGTTCTCATGCTGCTAATAAAGACATACCCGAGACCGGGTAATTTATAAAGGAAAGAAATTTGATGGACTCACAGTTCCACATGGCTGGGGAGGCCTCACAATCATGGTGGAAGATGAAGAGCGAAGGGACTTCTCACATGGCAGCAGGCAAGAGGGCGTGTGCAGGGGAACTCCCTTTTATAAAATCATCAGCTCTCCTGAGACTTGTTCACTATCACGAGAACAGCATGGGAAAGATCTGCCCCCATGATTCAATTACCTCCCACCGGGTCCCTCCCATGATGTGGGACTTATGGGAGCTACAATTCACGATGAGATTTGGGTGGGGACACAGCCAAACCATATCAAATCCTTAGTAACACGAGCATTTTATGATGTTATAAAATCACTCTTCTTCTTTGTTTTTGTTGTTTCATGAGTGATGGATAACTTCAGAAGATTGTGTTGGCAGTTAGCAAGGTTTGAAAGAGGTGTGTTCAAAATTTGATAGATTTTTGACTATTTAAAAATAATTGTTGAGGAGGAGCAGTTCTCATGTGGCCTTCATGCAGAGGGAACTTAGAAGTGTAAGCCTCCTGACTTCTGTCTGTCCCTTCACCCACTCTGCCTCAAAGCGGCTAGACTGATTTTCGGATTGGTCTATTTGAAATGGATATGATTGAGTTTAATACCTCTATCCCTCTTCCTTTGGGAGTGAGCTGTCTACATGATAATCCTTTCTCCACCACTCCGTGGGGTCAGCCTTCTCCCCATCTGCAGGAGGCAGCTCTCACTGAGTACCACCTACCACCACTGAGTTCAGTGGACAATGAGGACACCCAACCGCCTCGTTCTGAGTTGTGTCTTCCAACTTCATCTTTAGTAACTCATCTCTTATCTCTTCACCTCCCTGTCTTACTTTTCTAAATGTTCATCACTCTAACTGGGAAGTGAGATACTGTGTATTAGGCCCCCAGCCCTCACAAACTCCAGCAATGAACACTAAGCTACACAAGGTGGATACAAATAACTATTGATTGTTTTGCGAGGTGAGTAGTTTGTATTAGGTAGAAGAAGAAAGGGTAGGTGAATCTTCTTTCCTTCAAGGAACATGTAATGACACATAAACGGTTAGAAACAATAAGAGAGGGATTATAGGCCTTAAATGAGTGGAGCAGACAGAACTAAGGAAAATTAGAGGAGAAAGATATTGGTTGGAAAGCCTAATAGGGAGTTAAAGTTTCAGCTGAGCTTTAAGGGAAGGTTGGTACATGCATTCCAAAAAGTGCAGAGTGTTCTATTAATGGAAAAGTAAGCACATCAAGCTGGTTCTATTGCAAATATATATTTAAAATTACATCCTGTAAGTAACTGAAACCTCTATCATTACATTAAAAAATGTAAAACCTTCTGGAGCAGCCGAGTACATGGCAGCAGCTGCAACATCAGCATGTTCCGTCTCACTCTTTGCACAGACAGCACAACTGCTAGTGATGTTCACAATAGACTTGGGAGAAATTTTGACACGGAATAACTGTGATATTTAAGGAAGAAAAAAAACGCTGAAAGTTGATGCAAAAACTGAAGTCTCTCCCATGTAATTACAATGAACATGCTAAACAAAGATGGAATTAACCCTGAGAACTTAAAGCCAACAAGAGGAGTTGGCTGCACCTGCATCAGAACAAAATGTGGTTGGTCCCTGACCTGGCATAAGACAGGAAAGTCACCTGTGTAGTAGAATTGTGGGCACAAGCACACACTTCATTCAGGCGAAGGCTCAGTGAGAGACCTTATGTCCTGTCCTGCCCTGAGAGATGGAGGCTTTTAGATAAGCAGAGGAAAGGGGGTAAGACACCCAGCACATGGAGGGAAAACAAAAGTCTCAAGCAGGAAAGTATAGAAGATACTTAGAGAAGACAGGGCAGGAGTGCAGAGATTTTGATGTCTATAAACCTTGGTTGACCTTGAAGATTTATCTTTTAATGCCATTATCTCATGTTAATTAATAATGGCAACTTAACTTTTTGTCTTCATGGCATTGTGACAACACTGCCTTTCAGCAGCCATAGTGATGTTACTGATCTGCTTTTGCCTGGTTTTCTATGAGTAAACTGTGTGCTGAGCCAGCCACGTGCTGTGACTCAGGCCTTCTTATGACCAGTACCACCAGGCACTCACACTGCTGTTGGCCAAGAGCTGCCTGTGGCCATACAGCAGAGACAAATTAATACTAACACCATCCTTACGTTTGGGAGACAGGCTAACAGTTTACAGGCTCCAGAGCACTTTCACATCCCTTCACATTTAATCCTTGGATCACATCTGGTGTTATTCAGGCACAACTGGAAGGCCACGTGCTGGTGGACCACATCTGGAATAGCCTATGTTGAGAGACACATCTGGCACTCTTCCCCCATCACCTTCCTTCTTTTCTCTTCAGAGAACTTGGGACACGGAGTCAAGACACCTTGCTTTCAAGCCCAGGTCTTCTATTAACTGACCATGGGCTTGTAGGCAAAGTCACACCACTTCTCTGGGTATAATTGCATACTGGGTGATTTCTAAAGCCTCTTCCTGCTCCAAGATACTATTATGCTGTGACAAACTGGAGAAGTAGACAGTGACGATATTGATAGGGAACCTCCTTAAAAATGGAGACCCTGTTATTCAGAGAATTTAATGGCTTCTAATCCAGGATTACACAGATGGTAAGCAGTAACATCTCTGGTTGTTTCATTTAGTGTTTTTTCCACTACATTGCACACATGTGCGTGAGCACAATGTGGATTAACCTTGACCCGCTTAGCTCTAGCTCAGATAACCAGATGCAGATGGAGGAATCCATGCTTTCAGCGAAATTACATTAATTACTTGGACGGTATGTGGCTAAATAAGATTCCACAAACTGACAGCCTGCAGACAGGATTTGTCCTGAAGCCCTGTTTTGTTTGGCCCCTAGCGTGTTTTATTTAAAAAATTGACATGTTGCTATACTTTAAATTTGGGATATTTACATAAAAATCCAAAATTTCAAGTTCTCTTAAAAAGCCAAAAGATTTATGATTGGCTGAAATGGGCTCATCATTATATTGTCCCTTCAGTTAGTGTTTTCAAACTTCCATACTGTTGACATTTTGGGCTGGATAATTCTTTGTTGTGGAGAGGCTGTCCTGTGGATTTTGGGATGTCTAGCAGTATCCCTAGCCTGTGCTCAGCAGATGCCAGTAGCACCTTCTCCTCTGTTGTGACAATCAGTGTGACATTTCCAAATGTCCTTTGGCTGGGGGGCACAAAATTCCCTTATGTTGAGAATGATTGTTGTAGGCATTTGAATAGGAATCCTTGGAAAACAGAAGAGCTGGAGAAGATGTAGTCCAATGCTCTCAGTTTACAGAGAAGGAAACTGAAGCCCAACCGGAGAGGTTAAGTAACTTGCCCACGGTGACACAATTGGAACAATGGTGACAGACCTAGGACTGGAACCCAGGTCCTCTGACACCTTGTGCAGTGCATTTTTCACCTAGATCTGCTTCCAAAGCCCTCACCTGCCAACTGTGTGAGATGACGGGTACATTAATTTGCTAATTTCCCACCCACTTTAATTGCTGATCAGGAAGGCCTGACGGCTGCTTTCACTTCCTTGCAAGTGTGTCCAGAGGCAAGCAGAGCAGCTCCCCATTCCAAGGGAGCATTTCCTGGATATAGGCGGCCCATATTGTTTCACTCAGATTGGAAGGGGTGTTGCATAAACATTTGCCTTATTCTCTGATCCAGTCATTTAAATAAGATTTTTCTCATTCCCAGCCAATTCAGATCATCAGTCTCTTTTGCATTCTTGAATCAACATTTCCTCCAAAGCCGCTAAGAAAGTGTACAGCCAGAAACAAATGTTTGTGTGAAGTCATTTGTCACTCTGCAAATTCCTTAGGAATGTGGTTATACAACAAACAGTTGGATGTTATCATTTATATGCCTAGAATTTGTTTCATTATCTGAAAGCTCATCCTTTTTGATAAAAAAAATTTTAGAAGTATATTAATGATTTATCACAGGAAGTATTTACTTTTCACAATAATAAATTCCTCTGATGTGAGAAAGTACCTACCAGGCTCACTGGACCAGAAGCCCTGAGTGCTTAGGCTTCAGTTTTGGCTCTGTCACTATCCAAACTGATGGCCTAAACAGGGCCATATCTTTCTCAACAGTGTTTTCTGAGCTACCACTGAGATCCCTTGACACTCTCATATTGTATGAGTCATATTCCTGTTTCATCTATTATAGTCCCTGTGAGCTTTCTCCTATAATTGAGTCTTGTTCTACCTGGTTTGACTACTGCATTTTTGATAGAGAAAGCCCAGGAAACACCTATTGTAAAATGTTATTCATTTACCCACTTACAGTGGGACCAGCCCACAGGTTAATTTGAAATTTTTCTAGTTGTCAGTGAAATATCTTAGTTAGAAAGTAACTTTGCCAGACAGTAATTTTAAACTCTGCTTTGTGGGTACAATAGTCCCCTCTTATCCAAGAGGGATATGGTCCAACACTGCTAGTGGGTGCCTGAAATCATGGATTGTAGGAACCCAATCAAACACAGTTCTGTTCACATCCACCCACAAATTTAATACCTTTTCCATCCTAACTAAGCGCTTGTCATGCACTGTGGCCATAATTTTGCAGTTTAAAGGGCAACAGCAAAACTAGCACACATTTTTTTTTTCCTCTCCACAATTTAACAGATAGGTCTGTTTTTACTGTAGGTTTTAGCAACTTCAGCATACAATTCTTTTTTTCTTATTAAGTTGAGAACCTCCTCCTTTTCATGTAAAGAAGACTATGGTTTCTTTTTGGTATATCCAAATTGCCTTGCATCACTACTCTTGTGGTTAGGACCTTTATGAAGTAACATAAGGGTCCCTTGAACACAAGCACTCTGCTATCATGACAACAGATCTGTTAACCAAGAAATCTACTAAGTAAATCACAGGCAGGGAGGGTAGATAGCATGAAGACGCTGGACAAAGAGAGGATTAACCTCCTGGGTAAGATGGGGAGGGAGGGCACACAGTTTAAAACGTATGAATTGTTTATGTCGGAATTTTCCATTTAATATTTTCAGACCACGGTTGACCACAGGTAACTGAAACCACAGGAATGAGATGACAGGTAAGGGGTTACTACTGTATATCCTTCTTGGATGTCCTACTGAGTGTCAGAATCATTTGAGAATGCAATGATGTGGGAATCAACTTCCTCCTGCCTCCCACTCCACTTAGTCCTCCCCTTCAATGTGGTGGACTTTTCATATATTGTGACCTGAAGTTTACAGAGGACTGTTGTGTGACCACTCACTACTGCAAAATCATACTGCCCTAAATGTGTTCTTATTTTCTTGGCTTCTATCCTGGCACATCTCTCTCTGGCACAGTGTCCGTCCACCTCAGCTTCTGATTGTCTCCTTCCTTTCTTTCCTTTGAACTTGATAGGGGATCAGAGCATGAAAGACAGATGGCTCTAAAGAATAACAGAATTGCCACATATGCAAGAGTTGTGTGTCACCTCCCTTGTGTAATGTTTGGGTGGGCTTGATCATAAGGTCCATTTGGACAAGTGGAGGAGGGGAACAAGTGGTACAGAGGCTCAGATGCATGAGTTGGAAAAATGAATAGAGTGTTAAGGGAGCTGCAATTTGGACTCACCCAAGACATGCCAGATTCTGAACACAGAGCTGTAAGACTCCCTGCCAGAGAAATCCTCATTAAGATTAGTTGAGGCACTGGGCAAGCCTGGGCCCATGGATAAAGCCTTCAGTACCCAGAACTGAGCAGGTCCAGGAGGCCAATACAAGCAAGTCACTTTATCTCCTAATGTCACTCGTTTATAATCTGACCCTTATTGTAAGTCTCTGTGTGAAGGTATAGTTTTCTTTTATCTCTTTATCAAGAAGGAAATCAAATTGACTGACTTAAATTTTTGCTTATTAAAACACCGTTAACAATTAGCATTGAACATTGACTTTATGCGAGACATTCTGCCTGTAGTATTTTAGCAGAAGATCACAGGGAAGTTTAAGGGTAATTGTTGGCTGTTCTTGAGTATGCCTTCTTCCTTGCTTTGTTAATGAAATAAGTACTGAGTTTTAACTGGGTCCATGGTATCCCAGCTAAAGAGTACATCTTCCAGCTTGTCTTACAGATTGTGGTGGCCATGTGACTAAGTGCTAGCTCATTGGATGTGAACAGAAAAGGTGTAAACAACTTGAGGTTTATGCCCATAAGGAAGGATTGTGCCTTCTCCCTCCCCTTCTCCTTTCCCTCTGGCTGGAAGGTGAACGTGAGGCAAGAGTTGAGAAAAGACAATGTAGCCACAAGATGAAAGCTGAGTGTTGAAGATGCAGAACAGGCCAGGAGGAGTCTGGTCTCGAGACTGTGGAGCCATCCTCTCAGCTCTAGACTGATTATGTTCAGACTAGCATGAGAGAGAAATAAATGCCTTCTTCTTTTAAGCCACAATTATTTTGACTTGTTATAATAGCCACACCTGTTTCCTAACTGTTACTGCTATTCATTTTGTACCCTTTGTGCAAATGAGCATCTAAGCCTCAAAAAAGACAAATAACTGGTCTAAAATTGCTTCTGGAGTGGTCCCCTCATACAGCTCAAATGCAACGCTTTCTAGTCGAATTCCTCTCTGATATGGAAATGCCAGTGAAATCATACAGTCCTTTCCCCACACCAAAGGAATGCCCAGCTCTGAACAAAGGGTGCCTTCTGGAACATGTGCCTGGCTGGGCTTTCTTATGTGTGAGCCCATGTCCGGGGTGGGCAGGGATGCATTCTTTGTTAATCTCCAACCTGGGACTCCACCCACGTCACAGGCTGGGTTCCTGTGGATATTAAAATAACCGATGTGGTGGGTCAATAAATCATAAATATTATCACATTTACCTAGTATCAATATTACTAGTATTTAAGGGCTTGTGTTTGGAATGTTATATATTTTAAAAAAAGGCTTTAGCACCGAAATAAAGAATATGTTCCAAGTTACTTTGTTTGTTGACTTAAAATTTTTAAATATTGCATGTTAGTGAGATTTGGGTTGTGAGAGCCATGATGGCATCTCTGATTTACTTTTTTTTTCAGGGATACTGAGGGGCTACTTGTGAGATGGCAAAAAAGAGATATGGCAACCAGAATTTCCCTCAGTCGCCCCTGACAAGTTCTCCTACATCTTCACACAAAGTAAGAGGGCCGCCACTTCACGGTGATCTCAGCACTCCTAATGCCATTTGGAAAATTCTGGACTTGGATTAAGCACTACTCAGGCAGGACAGTTCACAGATATCTGTGAGCCATGACTTAAGGCCCATCATCTCTGAAGCTATTTCCAAGTTAGTTAGCATCATATGGACAAACAGAGGGAGAGGCAGAAAGAGAAATTTCTTTTCCTGCAACGTATGTGTTATGTTAACAATAGGATACAATGAAGTTAGGGAATCATGTATGAATGTAAATGCCCCTGCATCCCCACCGTGTTCAGTACTTTATGTATTACCTTTGTCTTTTCCATGATATGCTTCTTACACATTCCCCCACTCTTTCCATGGTTATCTGTCAATTGTCAAATGCTGTTTACCTAGAGCATCGGGGTTCTCATTTGCTAGACTTTTTTTTTTTTGCAGTTTATTATTCTTTACCTCTGTTTACTAAACTCCAGCATCTCACCTACATTATGTAACTTTTTATCAAAGTTAAGTGAAATGTAGATCTTGAATTTTCTCTTTCTTCAATAATTCTTTATTGCTTGTGAAATATATTCCTATAATATTGTATATGTGACCAGGGGACCAGATGGGACAGGAGAAGGAAAATGGTTTTTAAGTGATGCAAGGCGATGCTTATTGTCTGTCAAGTCAGGACTATGAGGCCTCACAACGTGGAAGCAAGGCAGGCACATTTCTTCACCTCTGAACATTCTTGACCGGCTACTGTATGCCACAGCCTAGGGATAAAAACTTGAGGAAGGGTCTACCTCTGCCTCTGGAAGCTTATAATCTGTGGTATAGCCAAGTAACAAAGGATTTCAGAACAGTGTGCTGGGTGCTGCCATGGGGATAGCCACAGGGTGCTGGGGGAACAGGCAATAGTGATACCCAACTTGGTCTCGGGAGAATCAGGGAAGGTTTTCTGCATGGGAGGGTGGTGTTCAAGTGATACCTGAGTAGAGGCTGTCCATGCAAAAAAGTGGAAAATATCATGGCAAGCTTCCAGAGATGAGAAAGTTTGGGATCACCGACTAGTTCCATGCATCTGGAGCATAGAGTGGAAGTAGCTGAGTACTGAAATCCAAAGACGGGGATGAAAGCAGAGACTGGATTAAAAATCCCTGAGAGCCAAGATATCAAGTAGGTAAGGGGCAGAGGTCAAAATAAATGGATCCAGCCAGTCTGAGGAAGATTCACCTACACCAATGCTGCAGTCTGAAGCTGGATAAGAAGAAGGGAAGGAAATAAACATTTTTGAGTGTGTACCATATACCAGACCCTGTGCATCACCTAATCAAATTATCACACAAAGCTTTTAGGGGGTATAATTGTCACCATTTCATGGCTGAAAAACATGGCCTCAAAAGATAGCATGATGGGTATCACACAGCTTTTGAGTAGTAGGTCTGGGATTCAAATTCAGGTCTAATTCCAAAGCCTGTGTTCTTTCTGACCATAGCAATGACTCCAGAGCAACAGGCCAGCGAAGAGAGGGCAGGCTTTAATGAATGAGATAGAAGCTACAGTGAGTCAGACTTGGGCTTCAGGTAACCACATGGAGGCAGGGTAACAGCTGGCACAAGACTTCCAGGAAATGGGCAATGTTTGGAAAGATATGTTGACAAACTGCCCAGGCTGTGGGGCATGAGGTCCAAAGGTCAAAGTTTAGAAGAATAAAAAGCAAAATCAAATTTCTATGTAGAAGAAGCTAACTAGAAGTTGATATAGAAGCATGAAACTAGACAGAAGAGGGAGGAGTTAGAAGAAGAGACAGGGCCAAGTGCCATGCTGAGAGGCCGAAGCTACAGAAAAAGTGTCCAAGGAGAGAGGCTCCTGGTGATGGGGTGGCTGAAAGACTTTAAAGAATAGAAGTGTCTGATATGTAATCATAGGTTGTTTGGTTGATGTCCTGTAAACTCCAACAATTGCCCCAATTCTCCTGTTAAAATCCATCCCACACATCACATAGCCTTGTGTTTGAGACAGGCTCCCGTAGAATGTCCAAACAGGAAGACGGGGAATGTTCAGTGTGGAGTGACAGGGTACACAGAACAGAGAGCAGGCACAGAAAAGAGAGGGAGCCCGTACATGGAGTGATTAGGCCTCAGCCAGAGGTAGCCAGGAACATTATAAACAACTTGCCCACATGTCAAAGATTAGCAGAGAGTTTGAGAGAGTTGTTAAATGGCTCACCACATAAGGAAGGAGAATGCAAAACAATTTCATTTGAATCCTGAAAGGGCAAGCTGAACTTAGCTGATGTGTGGCTTATGAAAAGAAGATATTGCTAATAGAGCTGATCAAGGATTAAGTAGGCAACCTTGGACAGCAGTTAATTTTCCACCCCTGGGAATGTGTAGGCAAAGAGGACACAGACCCAGACATGGCAGTGGTAGGACAGATTCAGGTGTCAGATGGGGACAGACTGCATAACCCATTGAACTCCCTCCCAACCCTGAGAGTCCAGCCTAGGAAAGCAAGTTTAAGGCTCCCAAATGAATTAAGTATCCAAGCAAATCGGACTTGCATTTGGGAATGCACGTTTGACAAAACTCAGAATGAATGAGTCAATAGGAAATCCACCCAAACAGGTTAAAATTAAAACTGAACCATTAACATCCAAGAGAAGGATAAAGCTGCCTTGCTAGTCGACTTTCTGATTCAATCCAAGATTTCTCATGTGTTTCCTGCTCCTCTTAATGAGTCACTTGGTTTAGACAGTCTAGGATTTGCTTTCAGAGCAGGTGGATAAACTTACCTGTCCCAATGGAGATTTAGGTTTCAACACCTGCTGAAGATGCATCTAACCTGTTGAAGATTTTCTTGCATTTTTAGATTCATGCCCGGACCTAGCCATCCTTTCTCCCAGTTCAGTAGTGATATCCACCAGGCTGGAGGTGTGTTGAAGGAATGAAAGTGCACCAGCTTCAAGAGAAAAGGAAACAAACAAAAGTAGAGCAAGAAAGATTGAGAACAGCAATGTAGGCAGAAAGCTGGTAACAATGAGCTCTCTTCTCTCCATGACCTGGCCAGAAAGAAACAAGCAAATGCTGTTACAACCCCTTAGACTGTGTGCAAGGACAGGGTACACACCAATTGCTAAAGCACATGTTAAAAGGTTAAAATTTTAAACGATTTCCTAGATTTTCTCTTATACTGTGCTCAGAACAATATGTGCAATTTAGAGGAAAAAAAAAACCTAAGTAAATATGATATTCTGCTAATGCTCTTTTATGTGTCAGCCAGGAATGAAGATAGCTTAGGTACATGAAATTCATAGACAAACCATACGTTTTAAAAAAGCAGACTTTATTGGTTGGAATTTCAGCATGAAAGGTATTTCTGCACCCACCCATGGTAGGGCAACAGTCAGAATAGTTAGAAGTCACGAAGGAGGAGGAGGCAGGAAGAACCTACAGCAACCACAGACTAGATCGTCCGCCCTAAGAAATTGACTGTAGACCTCAAATAGTTGCTGATATTTGAAATAAGAATAAAATTTCCCATATGCAACCAGTCTAGGGAGGCATTCTTGGTGACATTTTCAAATTGTCCCATCTGCCACAATCCTCCACTCAGCAGGACTGAACACATCTCCAGGGGTCAAACCCACATGGATTAGATTTGAAAGACCACGAAGTTCAGTTCTTTCTTCAGAATGTCCTCCCTTTGTGGAAACTAGAAGTAAATTAACAACCCCACCTAGTAATTCCAAAAGATAGAATCACATTTAAGCTACCCCTTGGCTTTAGAAATGTTTTTCTTCCAAGAAACTACTTTTGAAATAAGTAAAAAATGTTAAAGCTGACCACTCATCTTTTCATTTTAAGAAGTACTTTTGAATCCTTCCTCCAGGCCACCATGCTAGACATGGAAGATACAAAGATCTATTGATGCCTTTGAATAGCCTAGAGTCTCTTGTTCGTATGAACAAGATTAAGATCCAATAAATTAATCACAAAGTGCAGATGTGCACCCTGAGCCTAAATCTGCCCCCCAGGTATTGGGAAAGGCCTCACAGCAAAGGTGGAGACTGAGCCGAGCAGCTGATGGTGAGTGGGAGTTTATCAGATGACAGACAGGTGAATTGCATTTCAGAAGGAGGGAATAGTATGTTGCAAAGGTACCAAAGAGGGAAAGAGTATGACAGTGGCTTGAGGAGAGTAAGTGGCACCAGGGTCAAGGGAGTGTGTTGCATGCTCTAGTCATGCAAGTGTTTTCCTGGAAAAAGAACAAATGCACTGTGGTAAAATTCAAGTGCATTCCTATACTTAAAATTCAACAGATCTAAAGATAGTAATTCAGAGCAAAAGGAAATTAAAATATTTGAGCAGTTTCTTTGTGACACCTGAAAACAAGTGCCAGGGGATTTATGAGTTATTATCTCTAGAATAGGTCGCTTCATGGGCCTGTAGCCTGCCATCACTCAGGGACCCATGCTGAGAAGCCTCTGCTCTTGGGCAAATGCTCTGCCCTTGCTGTCTTAAAATTCTTTAGTACATTTTGAACAATGAGCCTTGGCTTTTCATATTCCATTTGTCCCCAGAAATTATGCAGCTGAGCCTGAGAACAGAACATTTTCAGATAACTTGAAATAGCTCAGTATTGTATTTAAAGTGGAAAGAGGGAGAAGTGGTAGATGAGGTTGAACATGTAGGCAGTGGCATATATTGAAAGGCCTGGGAGTCTCGCTAAAAATTTAAAATGTACCTGTAGGATATAGAAGGTCATTGAAGAATTTGAGCAAGAAGTAGCATGAAGAGATGTGCTGTTTAGATCACTCTGGTGTAATGAGTCGATAGAGTGGAAATATAACAAAAAGTTTCCCATTTAAAATAAATGCACTTTCCTTGTTTGAATTTCGTTTCTTGGGAATAAAGTTTTGATCCGTCTTAAAAGTCTCTACGAGGAATAATTGCTGTGATTAACTTCCACCTTAGGGTAAATTAAGATAGCAAGATCTGTGAGCTCTCTTGAGAACTGGATGTAGGAAAGGGAGAACAGAAAACAGGAGGCAGAAGGTTCTGTGTATAGATGGGCAGGCCATACAGAAGCCGGGCTTCTGGGGAAAAGCTTAGCCGTCTCTTCATTCTTCACAAGCCTAGCCTGATGACACATAGAGATTTTTTTCTTTTCCCAAAAAATGGCCTTTTGGCATTCTCCCTGCCTGTTTCATTATTGCAGTGTTTCTTGTGTGTTCCCCAGGAAATCAGCATCTCCATCACCTGGAACTTGTTAGACGTGTACTCTCTGCTCCACCCTAGTAGCACCAAATCAGAAACTCTGGGGCTGGAGTCCAGAAACCTGTTGTTGTAATCCCTCTGAGTGATCCTCAGGCAGCCAGGAACTGTTGCTTCATTGTAAATTATCTGTGCCTCTAGAACTCAGATATTATAAGAAAAATGGTGGAAATGTCCATTTAGTATCAGAATGAATAATCAAAAGTGACTTTAATATCAAAAAATGTTCAGTCTTGTTCTAAACATATTTTTACATGAATGTACATTCAGCGAGTGATCTAGGGCATACATGATTGCAAAATCTTCATAGGTGTTAATGCCATAGTTCCAGAATGACTTTAAAAGGGCATATATTACTGCACGAGCAATGAATCATAGCTTCTGCAGTTAATGGTGGTATTTAACAAAACAAAATAAAGATGATTCTTTTCTTCTTAAGCAAGCATGGTCATTATTTTGGAAGAATGTTTTTCTTGTACCATCATCTTCTAAAGGATCATGTCTGCTGATAGTGCTGGAATTTTTCATTTATTTGTGCCTGACATTGCACCAGTAATATTGCAGCTATGATAATACATGTCCAAAGGTGACGTGTTTACATAGCCTATAAGGTTTCTGAAATGCAGTCTGATTTGCTGCTAACACCAGCATATCTCAGATTCTTTCCGTTGTCCTCCACGAGTAATCCAATATACAAGGAAGGATAAAAGAGTAAACACTTTTGTGATAATCCAAATTTTTCCAGTGGAATTTTAAACAGTTTGACAATTCAGTCTTGTTAAAAAGTGATATAAAATAAATGCTTCTTTGCAAACAATTGTCCAACAAATATTTTAATTCTGTCTCATATTCTCACAGTGGATTGTTTTCTGAGTCTTTCAGTGGAATTCTTTCAAATTAGAGCTCAATGATCTTCTTTATATTTTATCCAAAGTTTAAAATACATGAACCTGTCTCTACTTACTTGAACAATGGCCTCTATTATGGTGTCTTTTTCTTTAAATCCAAATATTATACTCAGCATTTTAGGAATTCTCTATCCCAAATACAGCCAATTAAATTGTCTATAAGTTATTCAGAGCCTTAGAAAATGAAATGAAATGGGAGTTTGTACTTTGAAATGAGTTCAAAAATGTGTACCATTTGTCAATGCTAATCTCTGTCGAATAGGCCTCATTATCTTCTGGTTCTGCGGCTAACAGATGAAATAATCTGACACAGACTTCTTTAACAGAGATATTTCTTCCTAGGAGAAGTCTGGCCTAGGAGGTGGAGGATGCAGCGCACCAAGATCGCACCACTGTACTCCAGGATGGGCACCAGAGTGAGACCTTGTCTCAAAAAAAAAAAAAAAAAAAAAATGGTCCCCAGTGTGGGAGATGGGGCCTGGTGGAAGGTGTGTGGGTCGGGTCATGAGAGTGGATCCTTCATGAGGTGCTTGGTGCAGTCTTCACTGTAATGAGTCAGTTCATACAAGATCTGGTTGTTTAGAAGAGTGTGACACCCTTCCCATCTCTCTCTTGCTCCCTCTCTTGCCACGTGGCACATCTGCTCCTCCTTTGCCTTCTGCCATGATTGGAAGCTTCCTAAAACCCTCACCAGAAGCAGATGCCAGCACCATGCTTCTTGTAGAGCCTGCAGAACCATAAGCCAAATAAACCTCTTTTCTTTATAAATTACCCAGCCTCAAGTATTCCTTTATAGCCATGCAAAACTGAGACAACACACATATAAAAAGTTCATCCCCCAAACATTTAGGTGTTCCTCATCCTAAAGGACCTCAGTTATGGTGTCATCACCTTGTTGGCCAAGTGAAAAGTTTGGAGATGTTTGATCACCTCACGGGTAGTTCAGATGTCATGAGGGCATGGAGTTTCCATTGGGAACAAAGGGAAGAGAAGGTGTTTTGGAAGAAAGAGGTTAATTCTCAGCCTGGAGCATGTGAGGAAAGGCAGGAGATAGGGACGGAGGTGCAGGTTTTGCGCAGGCAGGGTCAAGTGTAAGGATCCAAACTAGGGCAGAGGCTAGAAAATGAGTGAAGGGGGTGGGAGGAGAAAAAGGAGCTCCAGACTCTCTCTTGTCCTTGCCAGTAACTGGTAATGAGTGGGTCCCCCTCCTTCACTGGGGAATACCCCTTGGCAGGACATTCCTCCAACCCCCTAGACGAGAAACGTTCCTATTTTCTTTTCTCCTCAGCTTCCAGTGAGAATGTTTCCAGATGGGAACACCGTAATGCATGGGATTATTTCACAGACAGGACAAGGTTGTACCAGACAGGCTGGGGTCAGGAGGTGTCATGATCCCATCTCACAGAAAACACACTCCAATAAGCAACCAAAGAAGTAATTTGAATTAATTCATAGTTTTATCCAGTCCCTCTAAAACAGTTCAAAATGGGACTGGGGAAGAGAAAGTGCATTTTCATGTCATAGAAAAGCAGCAAAACGTTGTACAAATTCATTCTCCCTTAACTTCACCACTTTTTGTATCCACCACTCCTGTATCTTCTGAAGCTTTCTCTCATTTTTCAACTCCCAACCTTAATTCCCATTCTCTTCCCAATATAAATATACTAGCTTCTCCAGGTCACCCCCAGTTATTTACTTACACCAAACTTCATAATAAGGTCTAGGTGAATGTGTGATTGCGTGGCGGGAGGACATTTTGATTTGTCTTCTGTCTTCCCCCGCCAGAGTGTAAACTCGTTGGTGGGTTAGAGACTTCACTCCCTTCTGCCTGGAGCAACACCTGGCTTGTACTGAGTACTCAGTGACATTCATTAATCAATGAATATGCTTATATTTTGTATCCATGTTCCCTAAGGGGTAATTACATTGTTTGTAGCTGCACTTACCAACCTTATACTGGGAATTACTCTGTATATTAAAAGGCAAAGCATTGAATAGTGAGAGAAATTTGTTTTCTTCTGTCTCCATTTAATGATTTGTCCGGGGCCCTTTATATCTTTGCAAATCCAGTTTCTCTATCTGTTATTGGAAACAATAACACACCTGAGAGACCATCTAAGACCTAACATACAGAACTTTGAGCTTTTCACAGTAAAAGTCAGTGGCATTATATTGTTGTCTCACTGCTTTTAATGTTAATAGAGACCAGCTAAGAATGATGACTTGAGTCTTCAAAATGAATATTCAAACTTAAAATGTCTTTCTCTAGTCTAGATAGTACTTCCAAGGAAAGCTTTTTTCAGATGATTTTACTTCGGTACCAATGGCCTCTCTCCTCTGTATAGCATGTGCATAGAAGGGTAAACTAACTGATGAAATATTTTATCACTTGGTCTAACCAGGGGATAGGACAATGTACTCATAGTCAAATTGAGCACAGAGGAAGGCACGCATCTGGGCACCACATCCAAAGAAAGCCTCACTGTTAAATATATATTTGTGTGCATCTCAAAACATAAAAAGTCAGTATTTTTAAAATACATTTCAATAGCTAGAAAATGTCTAAGGAGAACGTGTCTTCTCCAGAACAAAGAACTATCTCCTTTTCGCTCTCTGCCCTCAGAGAAAATAAGATGACCAAAAAGATTGGAGTTTCCATAGCCTCAGCAGTTGCAGGTAGGAAGCTGAATAGAAACAACTTTTCACCAATGGAAATGATCTGGTGGTAAGTGCCTCATTGGCCCACTGGAAATTTGTTTTCAGAAACTAAAATCAATGGGAAATCCTTAACCTGGGAAGGCTCTGAGCTTTAGCAGCTTCGATAGCAGAGCTGGTAGCATGCTAAAAAAGGTCATGGAAGTAAACCATACATCAGGGAGCACATTTATTATAACGAGATTAGGGACCACATTTATTATAATGGGATTTATTAGAACAGGATATTACAATTATAATTGCAATTAGGGATTACAATTGTTGCTAACAATTGTAAGCATAGAATGGCTCTATCTAAGTTCAAAAGAAATTAGGAAAATTCTCAGGACACCTCTGGGAGGAGCAGGAAGCATTCCCTATGCTAGACATTCCTGATCATGCCATCAGAAAGTGGAGTGGTCTAGAGTCTTTGATAAAGAAAGGTCAGAGATCACCAGGGCATTTGACTTGGTTCACCTCCGCCTGCCAGAAGACTCCCCGAGAACACTTTTTCTTCTCTCCCTGATCAACTGAAAGAGTGTAGCAGCAGGAAAATAGCATCTTACTATAAAACAGATAAGGATTTCTATCCTATACTCCCAGAAGAATGGTTAATGGGTGGTTAAATTGTTACTGATTTAATTCAGTATGCTCCTGCAACAGAATATGTACTTAGCAGGCTGGTGAATTAGAAACTGCTCTTCATTAAGGTGACAGTGAGTAAGCCTACTTGAAGCTTTTCTCTGTTGTCAAAATGATAACGATATAATCGTTATTATACATAGAGAAGGAATAATGGTAGAGCGCATGGGTCATGGAATCAGTGCCTGCTTTTAATTCCTGATGCCATAGCCTACAGGCTCTCTGGTTCCCAAGCAAGTTACTTAACCTCTGTATGTTTTAGTTTGTTCAACTGTAAAATAAAGATAACCACAACAGCAACAGCAAGTAGTTTATAGTGTTTATTATGAAGTGTCATGCCAAGCCTTATCTTAGTGTTTCGTCTTCATTGACTAATTTACTGCTTTCAACAACCCTATGAGGTGGGTACTTTTGTTACATGACTCCTGAATCTTTTCTCCTCTACTCCAGTGAGTCCCTAGAAATACTAGATAAACATGAAGGATGCTGATGTGCTTTATGAGCATTATTTCATTTAATCCTCACAACACTGTGATGCAGAGGGTGCTCTTATTTTACTCATTTGTCACTTGAGATGACTGAGGCACAGAAGGGTTAAGTAACTTACCCAAAGACAGGAAGTGGTGGTGTTGAGAATTATAGGCCGTCAGACCTATAATGGTATAAATGGTCTAAATGGTATAAATACCATGTTCTTGATTATAATACATCCTATCAGAGTTTCCCTCATTTGTTAAAAGGGGGATGAAACCAACTCAAATCACATGTTTGTGAATGGGAAGCATTTAGAAAGGATGACTGAAGGGCTACCTTCAAGGCTTGCATCAAAATAAACAGAACTGATAGACACAATCGAAGCTCTGGCTTTAATTTTGTTGTTGTTGGTTTCTTTTTCCATGGTACAGGATTTTATGATGACGTTTCCATGAGAAAAGGGATCATGTGGTCATGTAAAGTAATCAACAAAAAGAATGTAGGAAAGGGTACTGGTAAGTCATATGAGGAAATCGCTCACAAGATGTTTGTCTCTGTACTGACATGAAATTCCCCCGAATGTTCTGTTTCACAATCTACAAGATGGAAGAAAGTTGCCTCTAGAGGACGCCAAAGTGATCATGGCACTTTTTAAATTTTTTTTTTTATTTTTTAATCTTCCTTGTTTCTGTAGATGTGGCATAGACTCCCTGCATTTCTGAGGGTTTCTGGATGATCCTTAAAAATCCCCTCAGGGCTTTTGTCTGGTTTGGAGTGTGAGCCAGGGTCACCCAGAAAGCTAAATGCAGCTGCTGGGTGATAAAAGTCCTGTGGTAAACTGACTTCCAGCTAACCACAGGCGGCAGAGAGCATCTAATGCAACCACAAAGTGGTTTGCTGGCACAGAACTTCCCCAACCCTTGGAATGAGATACCAGGGGATGTTGTTTAGTCTCCATCTTGGAACTCTTTCTTGTAGCAAGAGGAAAATTCTGATATCCATCAGTCTGAAACCATTTGAACACAGCTTTATGTGGAGATGAACATGTTGTCTGTGGGATCTCACAACCCCAAGTCCTATGATCTTAGAGGAGATGCTTAAACAGTTAATTATAAAACAGGCCGGCATAAACATGCTGCTGCGGATTGACAAACTGTAGTAGAATATCAGAACTCCTTGGAATATGACAGAGTTATTTTTCCAAAAATACGAAATTAAATTTTAACACAAAATTTTAAGCTCTTGGTGAACCTCCGGAGTCTTCAGTTATGCATGCCACCCCGAACATGCTGTCAGCTCAACCTGCAGTCCTTCCAACGGACATCCTCTGTGAAGGTCACTCTGTGGAACTTGCATAGAACCACTGGCTTGTTGCAATCAGGTGGCTGCTTTGAGGACCTTGTTCTGAAGAAATTGAAAAGGACAGCATTAAGACCTTGAGTTTTTTCTTGAAAATATTGCCACTGCTTATTCTTCAGCACTGCCTTTAAGCTAGAAATGGATGTACTTAATGGCTGGTATTCACTGAAAAATGAAAACTATGTTAAGTTTTTAAAAACTTTAATGGAGAGGGATGAGGCTGTTGCTGTAGCTCTTCAGTGGCCTTGGTTGTGTCCATTTTTTTTTTTTTTTTTTTTGAGGACTTGGAGCAAAAGCCTATTCCATGCTCATTCCATGATTCCTGCTAGGTCTTTCTTCTCCAGACACTGGTAACCTAGAACGGAATGGCCCAACTGTCTACATTCTGTGGGCTATAGCAAATGCATGAACTCTGCTTTCAAGGAGAAGAAGATTCTGGCGTGGGGCTTTTAAATTGCCTCCAGGGGTTTTCTAAGTTGCTCTGTATTAAAATGTTCACAGTTTTGGGTAATGCTGTTGGAATTGGGAACTGAGTAGTGCCATCCAAAACCCTGGGCCCTGTACGGCCACAACACACTGTTTTATCTCCCACTCTCATACCTAATTTCAAGCCATCAAAGCATGATAAAGCTTATGAGTAGAATTCTCTGCCATTGGCTCAGCTCCAGGTCCTATGGCAGGTGCACGAAGAAAGCGGAACAATCAACATTCTCTGTTCTTTCTTTGATTCCTTCAGTGTAAGAGGTAAGGCTGCCTGTAATCCTAGCACTTTGGGAGGCCGAGGTGGGTGGATCACTTGATGTCAGGAATTTGAGACCAGTCTGGCCAACATGGTGAAACCCCGTCTCTACCAACAATACAAAAAAAATTAGCCGGGCATGGTGGCACATGCCTGTAATCCCAGCTACTCAGGAGGCTGAGGCAGGAGAATCACTTGAACCTGGGAGGCGGAGGTTGCAGTGAGCCAAGATCATACCACTGCACTCTAGTCTGAATGACAGAATGAGACTTAAAAAAATAAAAATAAATAAAAATTTAAAAAAGGTCAGGCTGTTCTTGGTGTGGTATGGTGGTATGGCTTATAGCTAGCTAAGGCATGCGGGACTTCACTCCCTTTCATGGACACAGTTCTCATGCAACCCTGGTATTCCTTAGCACCTGGGAGGAAACTGATCTGTAGCCACCTGAAGATGCTTTGGGGAGTGAGCCCAACCTGATCCCCAAGGGAGGCCATTAGGATGCTTCTGTCTCCCAATGGAGCTAAATAAATGACGCGTGTAAACCACCTAGCACTCACCCCAATGTAGGTGATAACTCTTCTAAAAGCAATGCTAGCAAAAGCCTGATGCTGCTAAGATAAAATCCTGTAGCCACAAGAATGCCTTTCAATTCCTTTGTCTCCAGAAAAAGCAGTTCCCTGATTTCATGTGCTAACTACAGGATGATCTTAGAATCCCCAAATTAGACCTCTTTAAAAATCTCAGTATTAATCTTGCATGTGCTTAGGCCTAAACAAGATGGAGATAGCAGGTGAATAATCATTACATTGAAGCTAAGAGTTTTGAGGATTCTACAAGGAAGATAATTATTACTTGCTATTATAGGCATTGAGATTTCTGGATTCTCATTTCTGATAGCTAACAGCCATCATCATAATGTGGTGTGAATTTTGGACACTTAGAACCTATTTTTAAGGCCTACTTTAAACATTGAAAATAAGAATATACCATGCAACAGATTTGCGAACTACTGCCAAAGGAAATATAATCCATTCTTTAGAGACAAGAAATAAATTAGTCAAGTTCACTTTACGGATACCATACAATCTATGAAGACACATTCTCCTTTTTATTTTTCTGTGAAATTCCAAGGATATTCTGTCACTTGACTAGATAAAGCCCAATTTCCAACCATTACCTTTTTTAAAACCATGTTCTAAATTCTTCACAACTTTGGGCCTACCTGTCTCTGTTTATTCTCAATTTTAAAATGTCACTGAAATGCTAAACATCAGCGCTGGAAAGAACAGTTAGAAACTTGTAGTCTCATCCTTTCATTTCATAAATGAAACAGAGACTTAGAGAAGTGAAATTTCATTAGGTTAGGTAATGGCAAAACTGGAATGAAAACCCAGACTTCCTGCCCCCAGTCCAACAAAATTCAGATCCAAATATTACAAATGACACGTGATCTTCTCTGAGATATGACTTGCTGCTGCAAGATTCCAGGCAGAGAGCATCAAACGCAGCTACAAGGAAAAGGAACAGGGCAGGAAAGAGGAAGATTTGGGATCTCTGAGGCAAGCCTTCTATGCTTCCTCTAAATATTGGCTCTGGGACAAAGCCACGTTGTGCTACCCAAGAAATGGCTCTGAAAGTTCAAATATTGAGGTAGGAGTTTTCTTACGTCCATGTGTGATACCATGGAAGTTATTACAATTAAACCTAATGGGAGTAGATATTAATCCTTAAGAAAAATATTTTTTGAAGGCAAGTTTCCTGAAGCATTGTGATATAGACTTAGGCTGCGCTTATAAATTAATGCAGATCTGATGGCTGTCACTACTCATCCATTCATTTATTTCCTCACTGATTTATCCAGCAAATATGTATTGAGTGCCTAGGACATGTCAGGTCATAAAGTGGTGAGCAGGAGAGACACAGCCCGGGCTCCCGAGAACTTATAATTTAGTGGCCATGGCAGACACTGAACAAGCATTTATAATCAATTATGGAGGGGCACACCACAGAGCTTCACCAGGAGCTAAAACCCTGGATAGACATTCTAGCTCAGTGCATCTTGTGGATGGTATTTTGAGGAGTGGTGGGGCATTTGGGGTTGTTAGAAGGCTGGAAAGATGCTACCGGGCTCCACATTTGCTGCAGAATTGCTGGATGCCTTGCACTGCACCACCCAACTCTGCAATACAGGTAGTTGTCCCACATCCCTGAAGACTTTTGAGTCCTTGCTGGACATTCACAAAGGTGAAAACCCTGTTCATAATTACCCAAGCCTAGACTCTAACTCTGTTTTATTTATTATTTATTTATTTATTTATTTTATTTAATTTTTTTTAAGACGGAGTCTGGCTCTGTTGCCCAGGCTGGAGTGCAGTGGTGTAATCTCGGCTCACTACAACCTCCGCTTCCTAGGTTCAAGTTATTCTTCTGCCTCAGCCTCCTGAGCAGTTGGGATTACAGGCACCCGCCACCACGCCTGGTTAATTTTTGTGTGTGTTTTTTTTTTTTTTTTTTTTGAGACGGAGTCTCGCTCTGTCACCCAGGCTGGAGTGCAGTGGCACAATCTCGGCTTACTGCAAGCTCCGCCTCCCGGGTTCACGCCATTCTCCTGCCTCAGCCTCCCAAGTAGCTGGGACTACAGGTGCCCACCACCACGCCCGGCTAATTTTTTGTATTTTTAATAGAGACGGGGTTTTACCATTTTGGCCAGGCTGGTCTTGAATTCCTGATCTCAGGTGATCCACCAACTTCGGCCTCCCAAAGTGCTGGGATTACAGGAGTGAGCCACTATGCCTGGCCTCTAACTCTGTTTTAAAGATCTACATGAAGTATCTTTTGCACAGCTTTGACATATACTGAATATTCAAAGAATGCATCTAATGTAGAAGAACATATTTTGTTTTGATCAAAACTTAAGAACGCAGTTCACAATTTTATAAAAGCATGTCAACAATGGCAATACTGCCAGTAAAACATAATTACTGGCATTTCTATCAGGCTACATTTAGAGCTCTCTCAGCCATGAGGATTAAGTAAAATTACTCTTCTTTTATTACTCTGTGAATAAAGGTAGATTATTTTATCTATGAATTTGATTCCTGATTGGTTTGTGAAAGCAAGTGAACAGACATCAATAATAGACAGAAAATTGTACTCTTCCTCCTCTCTGCTGTCTAAAATTGCCTTTGATGATGTCCCACAACTGACAATGTTTGTGGCTCTGCCGGCTAACTTGTTACTTGGTTAGGTAAAGCAGAGGTGCTTTTCTCCTATTTCAATGACTCTGGCTTGAGAAGATGACAGATGGAGGAGAAAACCAGAAGCCTGAAGGGATGTAGATGGTGTGACTGCCCACTCCTATGTCATCTTCAGGCTGCACCATCCTAAAAACATGTATCAACCTAGATTTTGGATAACTAGAAGACTACACTCAGAAAGGATTTAGTGTGAAAAAGATACACTATGGAGCTAAAGCCACAAGAAAGAGTCCCAAGATGCCAACTGATGGCAGTGAATGCAGGGAGAGCCAGGAGGTGGGTGGAGGAAGGCATTTCTCTGGTTCTACCCACTACTCCAGTCTTCTGGCTGAGGCGATGCAGGAAAGAGTCTGAGTTCACAATGTATGTAAGTTCTGGACTGTAGGCTTAATAATACTCAGAGGGTCCCCGTGTTTCTCAGAAGCCTCCTGGAAGTTCAGCAGCCTCATGTGCCATAATGTTCATAGACATTTTTATGATAACCTCTTATGTCCTAACCTTCTGAGAAACAAGGGTGTAGGCAGCTGGACAGCTGGCAGACAATGACCTTTCTAACAGATGGAGAAGGGTAGAAAACGTTGGTGACTTAATTTTATTCTTTTTGCTCTGAACACTCAGATACGCTAGATAAGCAAGGGTAGAGGAGGGTCCTTGGAAGGAGGACATAACACAAGCAGGAGGCCCTCCCTGGAATCCTCAACTACACTCGAAGACAAGGCAGACTTGGCCTGTGAGAAATAACCTCTGCACGAATTAACTGAACTCCCTATGGCTTACACTTACCAAAGCCAGCATGCTTCTTTCTTAGATGTCTTAGAAGAGTTGTTGTTGTTTTTGTTTTTGTTTTTGTTTTTGCAATCTCAAGTCTTAAGAACAGAAGCCTCTTCTGGTTACAGAGCTGGAGTTTGCGATTGGCGCATTCTTCAGATAACATTAGTGGGACTCCTGCCACTGCTGTAAAAGGAAAACTGTAGCATGACCACATGTATCAGCTAGGATTTTTGACTCTTGGGAAGTAGACCCCATGTGTGAGGTTAGCTATCCTGGTAGCTGGGATGAGATGACCAACTTGTTTTTCCAAGGCCTCCAAATTGTCTCAATTGGCAACTAATTTTAGTCAAAATGAACTTATTCCAGATTTGAACCAAGGACTGAGAAGAGCAAGGCTGAATATCCCATTTCAACAGCTATCCAGATTCTCCATAATACTGTATATTGAATCCTTATAATAAGCTGCTTTGTGAGTCTTGGTGCTGGTTCAGTATTTTCATTGCAGTGATTACCCTATGGTCTGTTGGCCAGCTGAAGCTGGAGTACTCTTTCTCTTGACACTTTTCCATAACATCTCTCATCGGCCCAGTGAAACTTGTTGTTAAGGGCAGAGTTAATCTATTGCAGTCTGCCTTGCCGCATTATGCCAAGAAGCTTGGTGTATTTCTTTCAGTTATTTCCATAAGGACAATTCACTTCTTTGGAAGAGTTTTAGCTCCATCGAGTTAGTAAACAATGCATCTACAAAGAACGCTCTTGAAAACAGTCTCCCCACCCCATCCTAAAAGTGGGGTCCCTATTGACTAAACTGACACCAAAATGGAGGCACTATTCTACATACTGGATTTCAATATGTGTATGCATATGAGTATTTAAATATTTGTATTGTTCCAAAAGGAATTTGTAGAAACTTTTAAAAAAGGAACTAGAACATCCTTCAGTGATGTTGCTTCCTAATTCCAATTCATGTCTACCGACTGCCACTCCTACTACTTGCTTATAGCTTGTAACTGTGCCAGGCACTGGCAATACAGAGATGATTAAGGTGATTCCATGCTAGTAGGAAAGAAAAACAAATAAATAAACTAGATTTCTGTGTGATACATGTAGAGGAGCCAAAAACCTCAACATTACCAATCACTGCTAAGAGAGCCCAGCTGATTTTGCTTTAAATACTAGGGCTGGGGAAGTAAACACATTTGTCAGCAGCTGGACAGCCAGAGTGTCCCAGATGAGGGATATGCAGTGAAGCTCTCACCCAGCAGGAATGAACTCTGGGACGACACCTCTGCTGACACCCCTGGCCCCGTCTATCCCACCCTCCATCTAGTTTGCCCCCTCACCCTTGTATTTTCTCTAGCTGCTCACTTACGGTGCTTTCACCATTGTGATTTTTTTCCTTGGCTCTATTGTGATTCCCTGGCATAAGCCACATCTGGCATCTTCTCTCTTGGACCCTGTCTCAAGAACAACATTCAGTCCCCTGGCTTAGCATTCTCCCCTCCACCAAGTATCGAGGGTTCTACCCCAGGCTGTCCTCCCTCCACCTGATCCATTGTCTCTGGGCTTCAGGAGTAGGTGCCAGTTCAGTTCCAGCCACACCCCCACTCAGTTCTCAGTAGGGCCAAGGGTTTTTTTGCTTTGTTTTGTTTATTCCCTCCTTAGGTCCCACCCTTACCCTCTTCCTGCCATTTTGATAGAAAGTCCAGTGCTTTAACAAACTGAAAAACATATTAAAGGCCAAAGTCTGGATCAAAAATTAAAATAAAACATAACTAAAACCTAGAACACGTTTACTTTTTTTTACAGGACTTGTGCCTTTTCCCCCCATCCCCCAGAGTGATAAGTGTTACTGGTGTAGCAGAACATGAGAATCATAAGGCCAAAAAGAGGCTGCTGAGGGGAGTGTCTGAACCATACAACGTCCCCGTACCCAGAAGAGGCTTCCATTTGCTAGAGATCTTGTGGCTTGTGCTTTTAGGACATTTTATACCAGTATTATCAACAGAAATATGATGTTAGTCACATGTATAATTTTATTTTCTAATAACTACATTAAAAAAAGTAAAACAAAAAAATAAAATTATTTTAAATATTTTATTTAACTGAAAACATTCTCATTGCAAAATACTACATAAAATTGTTACTGAAACAATTTACATTGTTTTCTTTTCATAGTAAGCCTTAGAAATGTCAACCCAGATGCTAAATTTTCAACAAAGTTTAATATAGAACTACCAAAGGAAGTGCTATTAACAAAACAGTGGAATAGAAAGTCTGAGCCCTTGGTTCCTCCACCAAAAACACCAATTTGGCAACAGTATACAAACCAAAATGCATGTGTGAGAGGTCTAGAATTCACTTAAGCAATTGCAGTACCCCAGATGAGCATAAAACTGGGAATAAACCACATTAAAATGAATAAGAAGAGCAAATTAACTTTACTCGTGTTAGCCCATCTCCCAA
Source organism: Homo sapiens (assembly GCF_000001405.40). Classification (NCBI taxonomy): domain Eukaryota; kingdom Metazoa; phylum Chordata; class Mammalia; order Primates; family Hominidae; genus Homo; species Homo sapiens. The sequence continues at coordinate 28,591,913 of NC_000012.12, forward strand.
GGCTGCACAGCTTAGTGCTGAGACAGAGATTTCTTTGGTCCATGACTTCTCCCTGAGGAAAGAATCAGAATGAAACATAATCCATTGTTCCTAGCCTTTTGTACTGCTGCTTGAGGGACCAGTTTCTGTTTTACCTCACCTGGAATGCTGATGGGACTGGCAGACTTTGAATACCTGGGGACAGCTAAGAACAAAGGCAAGGGACAGGCAGCTTACCACAGCCTGCATATTTCAGCAAGATTTGGTGAAGGCACACAAATAAAATTTATCCTCAGGGAGGGAGGAAGAGGAATAGAGTATGCCTCCAATGACCTGGCTCATGGTACAACAGTCAGACAACAGAGGGTGCAAGACATTATTGGCTTTTGAAAAAAATGAAATACATAGTAACTCTCTCCCTCCCCCAGTTAGGTATCTACACATGCAAATCCAGAGAAGACATATCATAGAAAAGATCTGAAAGGCTCCCAGAATCTTTAGCCACGATAATTGATGAAATTCTTTCCCTGTAGAGGCCAGTCCATAAAAAAAGGGAGAGGTGGCAGTTTCTTCAAATGCGCAGATACTAACAGAAAGCCACAGGAACATGAAGAATTGGGGAAACATGACCCACTCAAAGAAACAAAATTCAAAGTAATTGTCTTAAAGAAGCTCAGTGACTTAGTTTATAATACAGACAGACAACTGCCTGAAATCAGGAAAATAATACATGAACAAAACTAGAATATCAACAATGAGAAACTATAACAAAGAACCAAACAAAAATTCTGAAGCAAAAGAATAGAATCACTGAACTGAAAAATTCACCAGAGGTCTTCAACAGCATATTTGACTAAACAGAAGAGAGAAACAGTGAAATCAAAGAATCAAAGACAAGTCATTTAAAATTATCCAGAAGACCAAAAAAAGAAAAGAAAAGAATAAGAACCAAACACATTATGGAAGTTCAAGAAAGGGAAGAGAAAAAGGAGCAGAATGCTTATTTAAAGAAATAATGGTGGAAATGGTCATCCGAGATTCATGAAGCTTAACAGACACAAATACGAGGAATCCAAAGAAGTCTATGCCAAGAAACATAATTAAATTATCAAAAATCATAGACCAAGACACATGATTAAATTGTCAAAAGTCAAAGACAATGAGAGAATTTTGAAAGCAGCAAGAAACAAGCAGCTCATTGTGTATAAAGTAGCCCTGTAAGACTATCAGTGGATTTCTCAGCAGAAACTTTGCAGTGGGAAGGAGATGGAATTATATTTTCAAAGTGTTGGGGGAATAAAAATGTTACCAACCAAGAATACTACACCCAGCACAGCTATCCTTCAGAAGGAGGGAGAAATAAAGACTTTCTTAGACAAATGCTGAGGGAGTTTATTACCACTAGATTTGCCTTACAAGAAATGTTAAAGGGAGTTCTTCAAATTAAAATGAAAGGACACTAAACAGCCACATCAGAGCATATGAAATTATAAAAGTTACTGGACAAGATACGTATATAAACAAATATAGAATAGTATTATATTGGTGATATGTAAACCACTTTTAATTCTAGTGTAAAAGACAAAAGTATTGAAATTACTGTAATTATTAATACACAATATAAAAATTGTTTAAAAATTTGTGTAAATTGTGACAACAATAACATAAATGTATGTGTGAAGTAAAAGTATAGTTCTGCCAAAACAAATTTGTGTTTAATAAAAATAATTTACATTGCTTCAACTTTTTAAAAATTAAAACAGTACAAAGCATTTCTCAGTTTCACTAGCCATATTTCAAGTACTCAATATCCCACATGTGGCTAACAGCTAACATATTGGACAGCACAGCTTTATACAAAAAGTGCTTATTCATAAGCTTTACCTCACATCAGGTCAGCAAAATTTGGAAACTATTTTCCCCAGTGAGCCAACAACAGTCATTGAATGGGAAGAAGGGAAACAGGTCCCACTTACACTCTCTTGGTCTTTCAAAGGCCCCACAAATGACATCAATTGGCAAATTATTTCCTGTAATTTCAAACTTTTCTTCTTAAGCTTAAATTTTTTCAGAGAAGAAAAAAACCTCAAATACAACACAGATGGCATTTACTAGTAAAATATAAATTTTCTTTACCCATAAACTTCCCATTTTGAGACTTTGCTAAGAAAATGAAAACTATAGTTCATGTTAAATATTTGTGTAATAGTTAAAAAATAAGAAATAAAACTTTAAATTGAAATCCAGCAAATAGAAAAAATAGATCCAAGAAAACACCCTATTCCATTGGAAGACAGAAAGAGGAAGATACAAGTAGAAGAAACAAGGAAAAAGTATGGTAAAAAAAACAACAAAAAAAGATGAAAGAAATAGGTTAAAATTTATTATGAATCATAATAAATGCAAAAGGGATAAACTTTTCTTTTAAAGTGGGAAACCCCAGATTTTAAACAAATCTAGCTCTATGCTCTTTATGAGACCCACTTAAGATGAAATGATGCTAAAAGGATGGATAAGGATATAGCAGACATACTCACTGTCTACCAAAAAACTAATGTTAGCAATATTATATCCATTGAATTTAAAATTTGGCTGTTATACAGGATTTAAGCATAATGAATTATTACTACGTGTAGCAATAAGAATAGATCTCAAAAATATAATAGTTCATGAATTAAGCAAGTTGCATAACAAATGAACAACATATGATTTACATATAATTTAAAAATATGCACAAAGCAATAACATGGTTATTCTGTGGATATGTACACAAATATTTACAAGTAATTTTTTAAAGATGTGAAGGCTATACACTAATTTATAGTAGTGATTACATTGCAGAAATGGGGAATCTTGAAAAGGAGACACAGGCTAAAGAAAATTTCTATTTCATCAGTAACTTTTTTATTTTTTTATTTTATTTTAAGAAAATGATGTATTCATATACTTCTGTGATTTCCTTTAACATATATTCATGGGGAAAAAAACCTGAGAGCAAATAAAGCAAAATATTAAGAGTATTTAATTGTCAATAGTGGGAGTAAGAATGTCTGTCATTTAATTCCTTGTACTTCTCTGTGTTTTTTAAATTTTCAGAAGGAAAAAAGAGGAGAGGGAGGAAAAGATCAAGGGATGGGGAGAAAATGACATAAGTAAATGATCTGTCCAGCTGTTATATTTTATAATTAAAAAATAGACAAAGCACAGAAACTAAACCTAGAAAGTCAAGAAAACCTTGGAAGTGTCACAATTGGTTACAGAAGTGAAATTGTCCAACCTTTTCTATCATTGCTTGTCTAAGGTAACCAATGCTTTCAGTACTTAATAAAACAATGCCAACATTTTTGGCTGTTTTAAATGTTTCTTAATGTTCTTATTCAAAGCCATGTGTTTAATTTTAAAAATCTTCAATATTTTAAGTTGCCAATCTGTTGCTGCTTTCAGATTTCAAAGAACCAGGGGAATAATATTTTATAAGCCTATAAAATGTTAAAAGTCTTTACCATTTAATTATATTACACAAAGTTATGGCTCCTAGCTTAATAGCTGCTGTATTAAAGAAAAGTAGGTTTTGGTAAAGACCAGAGTGGCCCAGTAAAGCAAGCACTACTACATTTTATTGCTTCATGTAACTTTACTTACAAGATATATTTGCAATAAACCTTGTGTAAGTTTTCATGACCATGTGGATAGGTAAATCTGAGAAAGTGGTTAAAGCTATCCTGTTTTAAATATTAGAAGTATATTGCTATGTTCTAGCTCATCAGCTAGAATACTCTGTAAACTTTGAAATCATTTATCAATTCCACTTAAAAAAAGAAACCATTACACATGGGTTTTCACCAAAGGCTTAAGATAATTGGTGTCCAACAGTATAACAGCTTTCCACATTATTCTTTTCATATGCTATCCCAAAACTATTACCTTCTTTTGGACAGGATATTTGAATCAGTCAGTCAAGTATTTATTAAGCAGCTACTGATTTTGTCCTTCCTTTTACCTCACGGAATCATTTTATTCCTTGATTGTATGTGTGTGCATGTGTGTGTGTGTACAGTCCTAAATTCTTTCAGAGGAAAGCTTTGTTTCTTAAGTTTAAAGCCTCTGTAGAAAATGAGTCTTTGAAGGCACGTTTTACTTCTTGGTTTCTGTAAGCATCATTGAAATGAGATTTAAAAAGTACAAAATAGTATAAAATAACACTAAATAAATACAAAATAGAGAAAATCCATAACAATTTGAGACTAGGTTAGAATCATCAGAAGACAGGACAAGAATTTCTGGAGTACAAAAAGCAGGTAGATAATGGGGAAGTGTTGACTGAAACAAGACTGTCTCCTTCAACTAAGGTAAAATCCGGTTCCTTAATTGAACCCTAAATGAATTCTAAGTTTCATATTGAAGGATCTCAGGGAATGTTACCTCAAAATATAACACTTTAGTATGCTGATTACTTTGAACTGAGTCCTATGGGGAAGAGCAGATGCAGGCAGAGGCTTTCTCTGAGCTCCCCTTATCTCCCTAGAGAGAGATCCTCTAAAGGATCTCAATGGTCATGAATCTCCCTCCCAGAAACTTACCAACTCAGATCACAGGAGAGGAGACTAGAGGTTGACCTTACACCCAGACTAGCACTTCTCCTTCTGAGGGCTGCTTCTAGCCGATCTGTATTATCTGAGAGACTTTTTATCTGTATATCAAGACCTTTATTCACCTTATAATTCCTCCTCTGACTCTCCCATAACTTGTGCCACCCCCTGCCAAGAATCCCCAAGCCTCTATTATTTTCTGTAGCTCAGGATGCTGTATAAGCTTCAATATGAGACCCTCTTGGCGTGTCATATTTTGTGGGACTCTCGTGCATATGTATATAATTAAATATAGTTTTTCTCCTGTTAATGTATCTAATGTCCATTTAATTTGTAGCCCAGCCAAGGAAACTAAAAGGGTAGAGGAAAGCCATTTTCCACTCTCCTACAGTATTAGAGAGCAAACAAAGCAGGAGTATAAAATTTGGTGTAGATTGGGTATTAATTGCAGATCTGCTATGGAACATCTGATCTGCCTAACCTTCCACTATTCTCTTCTCCCACCTCTGCATTTACAGGGCAACTGACAGTGGCAGTGTATATCCACAGGTCATAACTAAAGAAATGCTCTGAAGAAGTTAATCAAGCTTCCTAGAAATAACCAGTTCTTAGGTATGAATGTGCACATGCCATAGCAAATCTATCTTCAGTTTGGCAGATGATGGCCACTCTACCGTTCCCCGGTGCAGCCAGTTGTGAAGTCTGACCCATGCACACAGCTCAAGAACAGCCCTCCACTCAGCAGGGAGGTCTGCTGGGAAAGCAGACTACAAATCAGCACAAGCTACTAATATCGATCAATCAAATGCCTTTATGCCAAACATAAATGGGCAACCAAGAGAGGTGAGGAAAGCCAACAGTACACAAGAGAGGGCACACAGCATTTAATCATGAGGAAAGTAAAGATAACTCAGGAAACTGAAGATAAGTTTTTAATAAATTAGGAAATCCAAGAACAAAGAGATTTATTCAAATTGAAAACTAGAATTTTCATAGTTTTCAATAGGAGGCTGGATGAACACTTTTCAGAATGTAGACCAAAAAGAAAAGAGAAGAAAATTAATATAAACATACAGAGACGTAGAAGATTAATTCAGGAGACCAAACATCTATGAGAGGTTCCAGAATCTAAGAACAGAGAAAATAGAGGGGAGGAAATAATTTTAACACTTTTTGAAGAAATTTCTTCTTCTCCTGGGCTGGACAAAGGCATGAATCTTTTTATTGAAAGATAGCACACTATACCAAACAGAAATTAAAGAAAAATATATTCATATTTGTACATAGACTACAGAGGTTTTAAAACACCAATGACAAAATCTACAGAGTAGAAAAAAATGAAACAGGTAATATAAATTTCTTTTCAGAAACATTGCATGCTCAAACTAGTGATGCGATGGCTTCATAATTCTGAGAGAAAATTATGTTGAACTTAGCATTCCATACCCAATGAAATCATCAATCACTAAAAGACAAAACAATGACCTATTCAAATAGGTCTGAGAAAATGTTGCTTTCTCCTTTCTGTAAAATTTTCCTTGGAAATGTACTACTGCAAAACCAAAAAGGTATCCAAGAACAGGAAGATGTGTGTGTCAAGAGAAGTATTATAAAAAGAATTCTTAGAATGATTATTATGCAGCAGGCCTAGAAAGCAACCACTCAAAATCAGAATAGGCAGCCAGAGGGTTCTAAGTAGGATGTCTTCAAGAGGAAAGTGAAATTACTGTATGTTTACATACAGTCATGTATGTAAACCATTAAAAATAGAAAAAGGCGCAGAAACTAAACTTAGAAAGTGAGGAAGCATGTTTAGGAAGCTCGGTGTGCTTAGTGATTACTACATGCATAGTATTATCCTGACAACTACAAAAAGAGAGAATGAAACACAGAAAGAAAGAAAATTAGAAATGCTAAAGAATCTGTAAAAGGAAGTTATAATGTAAGTATAAAGCAAATGAAAAAGGCATAATTTTGAGCAAATAATGAAATACGATAATTTTTTTTGAATTTAAATGTTTGAGATAGTTTCTCTCAAAAAGTCCAGTTTTTGTGTCACAGGATTACGTTCTTTCCCCCATGTTTCATCTTATACATGATGTATTTCTGCAGCCTTTAATGTTTACATAATCTTAATATTACCAATGCTGTTTATGGGTCCTCAGCTTTTAAAATCATTTCATTGACATATCATGGAAGACAATTATAGATTCTGAGAGCAACATATACCTTACCAAGTTTGATAATTTCAGAGTACTGATACAGCTCATATAAATTCAGATAGCAGAGCTGGAAGGAAAATGAGAAGGCATGTAAGGACTCTCGTTTTTAAATTTTATATCTAACTTTCTTGAGAAGTAGAAATAGAGGCTTCAGTAAATTATCTAAAGATAGAAAGGCAACCCCAAAAAACTAAAAATATAACTAAAAAATATCAGTAGACATAGAGGAGAAAGGCAGTAACTTGGGCGAGCTGAATTTGTACCTTTCAAACTGGGTTGAGGTTATGTGGAGGGATGGAGATGGCAAAGCAAAGCAGGATTAATGCTGTAATTAATCCTCAAAACTATGAAACTTATGAAACCCTAAACCACGAAACTAATGAAACTTAAGCTTCAGGGGTCCTTACTTGTCCAGGCCCCTTCCAAGGCCTGGAAATACACACACACACACACACACACACACACACACACACACACACACACACAAACTGTCATTTGAATTATGTTCCTTTAAGACTCTCATAGAGTGAATACCCTTCAAGCTCCACAAAACCTACACCTGGCCCTGGAGGTGATGAGCTGGAGATTGAAGAGGTTGAACAACTTACCTTTGGGGAAAAACCTGGGGAGACAGAGTTCTGAGAAACTGTTGCCCTTTAATTTGACTCACCAATGCTGTTTAAACTCTTGAGTATATATACATATAGCTTGCTTTGTGTTGTAATTTATTTTGAAGTATTAATAGAATACTTCCCCCTTTCTGTGCTTATCTTCCTTCATTATACGGTAACATCCATCTCTCCCCCATTTCCCATTCTACAACCTCCTTCCCTGATCCTTCATCCACCATCCCAAACAACTAGACATAAAGCCATTCACTTGGAAAACAGAAAACGAAAGCTGCAAATCTTCTTTTATTAATTTCAATAGGCACTCTTCTGAGTGAAAGACAATATTCAGGTGTTATTTGCAGAATGAGATTTTTTGTTGGTTTGTTTATGTTTAAGGAACATATTAAAAAAACACCCAGGTGCTGATAAGGAGGATGAGAGTCAGGGACCATGGTCCATCCAAAGTGAGATGAGACACTGAGATACATGCTCCATTGCCAGTGTGGTTGGAGGTTGAATTAGTGCCTCTTTGTCCTTCCTGGTGAGTGTGGCCAGCAGATTAATAGTCAATTATTCGTTCTACATCTGGAGAGTCTATCTGGAACCCCCACTGGATTCCTGGTCCAGTGGCCAAGGACATTTGTAGGCCCTTGAAAGAGAATGTAATAGCATGAGGGAGTAATGTAATAGCATGAGGCGGTAGCACTTGCCCCTGACCCAAGAAAGGGTAGACAGGGACAGGAGAGTGGTGAGCTCTACAGCTCTGGCCATGAGCAGTATGTTTCTTACTATAAGCATATGAAGAAAAGAATGCTGAATCTTAGTGCCAAGTTTCTTCACCCTCCCCAACAAACATATTGTATAAATATGTAAATTATATAATGTATAAATTTTATATGTATTATATATATTTTTTTTCCTGCAAAAACATTTACTGAACTCTAAATATTCCCAAGGCTAGTCTGCTAAAACTGAACTGATGAAGTCCAACGGTGTAACTATTTAAAAGTGCCCAATATATTGTGCCTAATTGCTTTCAAAAAGCCGTGGGCCAATTCATACTTCCACTGGCAGTATATGAGCTTACTTCCTCTAGGCAATGTTATTTTTATTATCAGTTATTTTCAGGGTCGGCATAATGAGGGGGAAAGAACACTGGATTCTGTTTTACCTCTGCCTTTTAGTTGTCAAGTGTTTTTGGAAAAGCCCCTTCATCTCCCCAGGCCTCTGTTTCCTCACCTGAAAATAAAGTGAGATTGTATCGTTGGTCCTCAGATCAAGCATTGACCTCAACTCAGCAGCATTTGATAGAAGAAAATCACCTAGAATTTGATAGACATGAAAATTTTAAGATTCCACCCAGAGATACTAAATTAGAAATTCTGAAACTGGGGCCCATCACTCTGTGTTTGAACAAGCCTCAAGGTGATACTGAGGCAGCTAAAATTACATCAATACAGCTAAAAGTGTTGTATTGGATAATATCTAAGTTCCATTTTAGTTCCGGCACCTTGATCCATCATTTTCAAGAAGATAAGAGAACCAGAGAAATTTTCAATGTGGGTTTGTTGGCATGACTTTTTGGTGTACATGAGAACTGAACTTGACAGAGATATTGTTGCATCTGGTTTCTCAAACATTTTCATCAGCATCTCATGATGGATTTGATTTTACTGTGGAAAAACAAGATTACCAACAATGAGTTGTGGTGACAAGAAGCAATATGGTGTAGTGGATAAGAGACAATTGTGACATCAGGTAAACTTGAGTTTGAATCATGGCGGATGCTAAGCTGTGTACTTGGGGCTCACTGCCCTATTCTGCAAAATTGAAATAATTAGAGTATGTACTCCATCGAATTGTGGTCAACATTAAATAAGGACCTACATGTAACTAAATCTAGTGTCTGACATATAGAAGGTGTCTAATCAATGTACACTATTACTTATTATTAAAAAGATATTAAAATATATTATTAAAAAGATAAAAAGCTCAGATTATTTGCATAAAAGCAGTGCTCATTACAGCACAAGTCCACTAAGAAATAAGTAACACTAAGAGCTAAAAAAATCATTAACTAAAGAATTAACCTGGGCTAAGAAACAGGTGAGCTGTAGAATGGTGGGAAGACATAGTTACAGGAAATATGCCATGCAGTTTGTTCTTTTTCAGTAAAGATATCTTGAAGCCATGTATAACCATTCTTTGCTAAAACTACTATAGGATAGGAAAGGGTAAGATTTTTCCCCCCAAAAGCTGGTGTACTGAACTTTTCTCATTCTCTTTGGCAATTTTGTGTCCCATTTTTATTTTTTATTTCACAAACCCTAACAAACTAGGATAGTGTCTATTTATAATCAAATGACCTAATTATCAAGGTCCTTCAGGGGAACTGTATCATGATCCTAAGCAGGGTGTTTCCTATACAAGTGAGAGCACACTTTTTAATTACAAATGAATTCCTTTCAGGCCCAAACTAGCTTCCCTTCCTCTTACCGTAGCCCTGTCCCAGTTCCTAGAAATGTTGACCTTTTTCTTCTACACCATGTGACATCCATTTTCACTCTTGTATTCAACTTTTCATTGCTGGTTTCCTTCAAACAATGTCTCTGTGTGACTAATTCTCACAGTAAAAATAGGATGCTTTTCTGCATTTTCTCAGTTTATCAACGATTTTTCTGTGGATTGGAATTTGGAAAAACAAATTTTCCAAAAAATGCTGGGAAAGACTTTCCTACAGAAACACTAATCCCTATAATTTGCAATCCCATCCTAGAAAGAGGTCCCTTGTTTTAAACAACTAACAATATAAACTTGCTCTATTTTGTAAAACAGTTTTGTCACATTGTCAGTTTCAGGTTCTTGACTTTGCCACACAAAAGAATCTGAGAGGAAGTCCAAAGTAAGAGTAGGCAAAGAAGTGTATTGCAAAGCCAAAGCACATTGAGAGAAGCAGAGTGGGCTGCTCAAAGTTAGTGACAGCAGCTAGTGCCTCAAGAGGGATTCCCTTTACGCAAGCTATTCATACATATTCATAAAATACTGGTGATATCAAGAATGCAAAAGTGGACATGCAGTTGGAGCATGTGCTCAGTATTTACATGCTTTAACATGAATTGCATGTGTCATTAACATGTAAAATATCCACCTAGAGGTGTGTTTTTTACTATTAAAATGAGGAAAATGTCACTCACAGGTAAAACCCAAGCCTAGCTGCACATGCGGGACCCTGGAGACATCCTTAGTTTTCCCCAAGGCAGGAATTTGTAGCGTATAGCTTCTTGGGCTTTTGGTGCTGACTGGCTGGAGACTGAGGAAGCTACATTATAAATAAGGGACTTTTGTTCTCTTCCCCAAGCTATATTGCGTATTAGGAACTTGTAAGCATCTGGCGGTCTGCTGGTGTCCTGTAGGACTATTTATCTTGCAAAATAGTTAGGTGCTGATGCACAAGGAACCCACTGCAAAAGAGCCCACGGGGCTTCACACAAGGGGACAAGGCAGTATGGCCTCCTAATCTTACTTATTCTGCTTCAATATGTCTATCTTTGTTGTCACCCAAAACTGTATGACTAATTTCCTTTTCCTCGAAAACCTAGCTTTTGATGTTCTGATAGCTTATTGTGGTACAAGTCAAATCTACTTCCCATATCATCATGATTTGCTCATTAACCTCCAAAGCCCAGGTACATATGGATTTCAGAAAATGGTGGTTAGCGAGAGAACATTAATTTGAAGAATTGGACCCACAAACATTAATTCATTCTACAGGAATGTATGACCACATAATAAAAGCCATACGTGCTAGAATTGGGGTCATAAAAAAGAATAGGACATAGTGTCTGCCTTTGATCAGTTACATAAACAAATGATATGGGTTCCTGTAGAAGATGTACTAAAGTAGTGGGGTGGGAGAGTTTTGGTAGAACTTCATAGAGGATAGACCTGAAGGTGAGTAGGAGTTCATGTGGGAAGAAAAGGGAGAAGATATTTCAGTTTCAAGGACTACCATATATAAAGACATTTTCCTTTAAAAATCCTTATGAACGTTGCTAGACTGCACAAAGACCTGATGTGATAGCAAATGTGTTGGCCACAGAGTGCAGCGTGGTCAGAGTGAAGTGTGCATTGAGCAATGCTAGCATTGTTGAGGTGAAGCTGTAGAGAGTTTATTATCCGAAGAGGATGGTAATAGAGCTGCACGGCCCTGCATGCCATGCTAAGTTTAGACAATCTGTGAGCAGTGGAAAGTTATTGGAGGTTACTGAAATTATTAAATTAGCTATGCTTCATTACATTCCCTTATCCAGCGATTTGATAGAAGAAGCTTCTGAAGCTGTTCTCTGTGATTGTTAGTTCTGTTAGAAAACTGTCAATTTGAGAATTTTATTTCTAATTCAATTCTCTTGAAGAAACCAACTTAACTGCTCAAATTTCAGTTTTGCTGAACAGATATTTATTTAAGATCTTCTATATGCCACACGTTATTGTTGGTGTTGTGTGTACAAAGAAGGGTAAGGCAGATGCTCTACCATAGATGATTTTTGTAGTCAATGGAGCAACAGACATCTAAGCAGATAATATCAGAAAGTATGTACAGAACACTGTGAGCTTATCCTAGTTGGGCTTTCATGGGTATTTTGAAAGATTTCTTAGGTTCTGTTGTATTTGACTATTTACTGTGAGTCATAAATAAATAGGTCAGCATTCAAAAGTTAACTAGGTTGGTTGAGAATAGAGAGGACACAGATGCTGAAGTAATTTCTCTCTCTCATCCTGTCTCATGGTGGAAACATAACAAAAAAAAATAGGCAATCCTCATGTGGAAGCTGCGAAAAATTACACAGTTACAACATCAAAATTGAATTATGAATTTTATGAACATAACAAAAAATAGGTGATCCTCATGTGGAAGTTCTGTGAAAGAATAGGCAGTTTCAATATCAAAAGAGAATTATGAATTTTCTGGGGTTGTTTTAAAATATGGCTTTTAGAGCAACTGGAATTCATTAAAAATCAACTATTCGAATTATCTTTTCCTAATGAAGGGAACTGTTTCCAACTACTTTAAAATGTGTGTTTCAGGTTAGACACAGCCCTTCTTTGTTCATACTTGAATGATTCTTTCTTCTTGTCACTAATTCAATGAACACAATACTTCTTCTGTGCAGTCAGTGTAGTCTCATTTTTTTAAAATTAGGAAACACAGAGAGGGTAAGTAATTTACCCAAAGCCACACAGTCAGACAGTGTTTGAGAAAGAACAAAATTGAAGTTCCTGACTCTCAACCCAAGATGCAGTTCAATAGGCCATGTAACTTCCTCTTGAAAATAGTTATACACACCATAAGGCTATTTTTTCTTGTTTTCACAAAACATGTAGTCACTGTTTTTTTATACTAAACTCTTGGAAGCTCTGGGAATAAATTAGTTTCCTTGAAAACACTTAAACAAATCTATCCACATTGGTTTGTTATTTTATGGCTGCTCATGAATGCTGGATTCCTGGCATTGTTTTTATTTTTTTTAAGGGAGCAGTGATTTGTTTGCCTTTAAAAATGTATGTCTAGAATGAGATTAGTTTACTCTGCTATTTTGTGTAATAAAACTTTGGCTATATTGGATAAAGCACAGTACTAGGAATGGCTCTATATTTGTAGTTTTGCTGTGTAGTAATCAATTATTATATTTCCAACTTTGTTCAAAATACTCTGATTCCAAGGTATTGGCATCTTGCAGGATGACGTCTTCTTACCTTCTATTCTATTCCCCTCATTTAGCGTATTGGGACAGAATACATCTAAAAAGGCAATGAAAAAGGTGTTTTGAGACATCCAAGTTAAATGAGAGGACCCTGGGGTCATAGCCAAATAGAATCTAAACACCAAGTACCTACTTTTCTTGAGCAGAGATTGCCTTTATGGTCATTTTGTTACTGATATTGGATCAATCAACAAATATTTGTCTGTACTATGTGGTGATTGCTAGGATTATTTCCCCTTTCATCTCGAATTTTCTTTCTTTTTCTCCTACTGCCACCCTATTCCTTCTCCTCCCCTTCTCTCCTCTCTAAGACTTCTTGTCCTCATTTCCTCCTCTCTGCCCCTTCTCTGAGCTTCTACTATGTGACAGGCCCTCTGCTAGGCACTGGAGGTAGGAATTTAAGACACGCTCTGTTTACAAACATCTCATCATCTACTGTTGTGGTTTTCAAAAAGGTTTGACTCACATAGAAAAGGCAAAAGGCTTGCCAACCTCATTATCTAACTGTTCCTACTTTTTAGCAAATAAAGGAAATGGTGATAATGAAGAATTAGAGAATCCCATAATAAAAATTGTACTAAATTTTAATATCTCAGAGAGATAGTTTTGTTTAATCATTAAGATTATAGACCCTTGAGCCCAGCTGTCTGAATTTGAATCCTGACTCTGCTCTTTTGAGTTATTTATGTTAATAATTCCTATGCCATTGGGCTGCTGGGAAGATTAAAGCTTACAGAAATGTGCCTGCTGCATGGTAGGCATCATACATATAGCCATTATTATGGTTACTGTTATTAATAATATTCCTAAGTTATTTGAAAAAGTAAAGACTATGCACTTAAAAATAGAAGAAAGGTGTTACATTTCAGTACATCTAGAAGCCTGTTGTGACTCTGAGGGGCTGAGGACCATACTTGAGAATCATGTATTAGTGAAAAAAATCACTGGTATAGATGTTATACTAGAAACATGCTCAGGACAAGTTTCAATGGATGCACAGTGGAGAGAAACATAAAGATCTAGCCTCAGATACACTGGTCATTCTGAAGAAGATGAGTTACTTGTAGGCAGCATAGAGTTGGATCTTATTGTTTGATTCACTCAGCCACTCTATATCTTTTAATTAGATAATTTAATCCATTTACATTCAAAGTTATTATTGATAGGTATGGACTTACTCCTTCCATTTTGTCAATTTTCTAGTTGTTTTGTGCAGATCTTTTTTTCCCTTCTTCCTTTGTAGTTTGATGGCTTTCTTTGGTGGTATACCTTCATTCCTTTCTTTTAATCTTTTGTGTGTCTATTATAGCTTTTGCTTTGTGATTACCTGAGCCCCATATAAAATGTCTTATACTTACAACAAGTTCATTTAAGCTGATGACAGCTTAATTTTGAACACATGCACAAACTCTCCACTGCTATTATCCCTCTTTTCATGGTTTTTAAAATTAATGTCACATTTTATATCTTGTTATAATATTTATCTTTTTAAGCAAATGATTGTAGCTTTGGTTGTTTTTAATAGTTTTGTTTTTTGGCCTTTACCCTGGAGATATTATTTATTTACCTACTGCTATTACAGTATTAGAGTGTTTTGGATTTGACAATGTATTTATTTTTACATGATGGAGTCTTGTTCTGTCAACCAGGCTGGAGTGCAGTGGTACAATCTCAGCTCACTGCAACCTCTACTTCCTGGGTTCAAGCAATTCTCCTGACTCAGCCTCCCGAGTAGGTGGGACTACAGACATGTGCCACCATGCTCGGCTAATTTTTGTATTTTTAGTAGAGACGGGGTTTCACCATGTTGGCCAGGATAGTCTCGATCTCTTGACCTTGTGATCTGCCTGCCTTGGCCTCCCAAAGTGCTGGGATTACAGGCGTGAGCCACTGTGCCCAGCTGAGTGTTTTACTTTCATATGATTGTGTTACTAGTGTTCTCTTCTTCAGCTTGAAGAACTTCTTTTGGCATTTTTAGTAATGCAGGTCTTGTGGTGATAAACTCAGCTTTTGTTTGTCTGAGAAAGTCTTTATTACCCTTCGTTTTTTGGAAGAGAACATTGCTATTGCTGGATATAATATTCTTGGTTATCATTCTTTTTCTTTCTGGATTTTGATTATATTATCCAACTTCCTTTTGCTTGCAAGATTTCTGCTGAGAAGTCCACTGATAGTCTCATGAGGGTTCCCCAACATGTGACAATTTGCTTTTCCCCTTGCTCTTTGTCTTTAACTTCTGACAATTTGATTATGATGTGTTGTGGTGTGGACTTCTCTGGATTCATCTTACTTGGTGTTCTGTGGGCTTCCTGGATCTGGCTTTTTAATTCCTTCCTGAGACTTGGGGAGTTTCTGTCATCATTTAAAAAATACTCTCCATGCCCCTTTCTCTCTTTCTTCTTTTTCTGGCATGCCAATTATACATAAGTTGTTCTGCTTGATGGTGTCCCATAAGTCTCTTAAGTTATCTTCACTCCTTTTTATTCTTTTTTCTCCTCAGATTGGAAGATTTTCAGTGATCTATCTTCAGATTCTCTGATTCTTCTGCTTAATCTAGTCCATTTTGGACCCTTCAAATGAATTTTTCAGTTTTGTTATAGCATTTTTCAGATCTATGATTACTGTTTAGCACTTTTTTATACTTTCTATTTTTTGTTGTTGTTGTTGAAGTTCTCATATTATTCCTGCATTGCTGTCTTTACCTCTGTGAGCATCTTTATGACCATTGTTTTTGAATTAGCTGCAGAGTAAGTCCCAAAATTTTGCTTCATTTGGGTCAGTTTCTGAATATTTATCTTGCTCCTTTGTTTGGAGTATATTACCCTGGTTATTTTCCTTGATTATCTGTGTTGGTTTCTGCACATTAGATAAGACACTTACCTTTTTCCATCTTGTTAGACTGCACTTGTGGAGAAGAAGATTCACCAATCCATGCTGCTAGAGATTTTAAGTTGCATTCCAAATCTTTGTGTTTGTCCAGACTGCTATCTCTGTTTTTTGTGGCCCCCTGGGGCTTAGGGTGTGCCACATTTTGTCAGTAACCTGAGACTGGTATGATAGGCATCATGCTCCTTAGATGTAGCTGGAAAGGTTGAGTGCTGTGATTTTGGGAGCTGTATGTGAGTTCCAGTTTTTTTTTTTTTTTCTATCTTGACAGTGAGGGTGGGCTGGGTGTAGGTGTTTATTTCCTACTTTCTCTGGGCTAAGCTAGGGAGAGGATCTTTGGAAAATATCTGTATTCACTTTCAGGCTACACCTTCTGATCCTGGAGGGATAGCTGCTGGAAACGAGCTCAATATGCATCCACCTGTGTTTTCTGTTGTCTTGGACCACTCTGGATTGCAAAGCCCCCCTGGAATTCTAGAGCTAGGTCATCAAAGAGACAGTCCCCTAAATGGGGGCTATGGAAGTTGTGGTGCTCTGTGCATGATCAAACTTCTTCCTAAAAGATTGGACAGGCCTGGATTTATCTCTGGAGTGAACCCAAAGGAGATCTCATGAAGTGCTGAACTCTGGCTCTGGCTATTAAAAATTACTGTTTGTGTGCCCTGTTAGCTCCCACTGTAAGTTCATTAGAAACCATGTCATCAAGCAGCCACTGGGACTGTGTGTCATAAGCACCTTCTAGAGAGAAAGTGAGAGCTGAATGCTCCTGCCCCTTTTCTGCACTCCTTCAAGGGAGTGTAGCCCCTGGAAGCGTTTGGGCATCCATTTAAAACCACTTATTTGTTCTGGGATCAAGGGAGACTTACATATGCATAGGCCCTTCTGTTCTCAGAGCTACTAGATTTAGGATAGAGTCCTTCAGAAGGCAGCTTTATCTAGATCTATGATTACTGTTTAGTACTGTTTTATACTTTCTATTTTATTGTTGTTGAAGAGCTGTTGATGTGTGTCCTAAACCTTTTCAGGGGATAAACAGGAAGTTACGTTTCCTTCTTTTTGTTTTTTCTTTTTTTTTTAGGCCCTTTCTGCATAGCTCCAGGAGGATAAAGTCCCTGGAGGTACTTGCGTGCCACTAAGAAGATACCTATATATGCCAGTCCCTTCTGCTCCCAGAGCTAGAGGATTTATGGTGCAGTAACTTAGGTGGATGTTGTAAAATCTAGTGCTCTCAGTGTGAGTACAATTTCCTCCCATGCTGGTGGTGGGTTGATGATTGTCTCTTCGACTCAACAATATAAATTAGTGAGAAGTTCAGATCTTCAGTTAGCCACTGGATGGCTGTTTTAAAAATCCCTTCTGGAAGGAGACAGGGAGCTATGTTTTTAAGGCTCTTTTTTGGCACTGCTTGCAAGGGGACAGAATCCCTTAAAAAGCCTGTGTGCCCATATAAAACTGCTGCTTTATTTCCTAGGGTCTAAAGGAACATGGCTGTGTTTAATTCCTTCTGCCCTAACAGTTGGTGAATTAATAGTCAAACTGTGAGGAAATTTGGGGTCAGGGCCCTATATGTGAGATCCAGATCTTCCTCTACACTGGGGAAAACTGGGTGTTGGGGACTCCTTTCCCTATATTATGGTGCATGTCTGTGGTGGGGCCATGCCCTAGTGTGCCTCGGCTTCTCTTACCTATTTGATGTGTATATTTCAGCTTTTTATACCCACAATGTGTATATTTTCTCAGTTGCTCTGTGAGTAGGAGTCTCTCAACTCATCTCTGACATTCTGTCAAAAGGAATTGATCCATAGATAGATGTTAATTTAGTGTGTCTCTGGGTGGAGGCAGAGTCAGAAGCTTCCTATTCTGCCATGTTGGTGATGTCTTTGTTAAATAAACTTAATAATATAAAAGTAATACATACTTATAGCAAAAAAATTCAAGTCCTATAAAAAGGTATTAAATGAAAAAAAGTTCAACTCTCTTCCCATCCTCCTGCCATACCTCATTCTCTCTTCCCAAATATATCAACTCAAAACTGTTTTCTATGTAGTTTTCTAAACATGTACCATATCAATACAATAAATAAGTATTTTTCTGTCTACTTTAACTTTTTAAACATAACTGGGAGTCACCTATACATACTTCTCTGCAAATTGCTTTCTTCCCTTTAACAATCTCTCTCGGCCAATTTTCCAAATTAACTCAAATATACCAACTTCATGATTTTTTTACTAGATATATATTACTCCAACATTTGGATATGCACTGGAATAAGTACTAAGCAAGCAAATATGTGAACATCTATATGTGTATGTGTGTGTATTACATGTATATTTTAGTGTACCTGTATGAGTGGAATTTCTGGGTCAAAGAATTTATACATTTTAAATTTTGATTAATATTGCAAGGTTGTATTGAAGAGGATGTTTTTTCTTCTGTTTTCCAGTTTCATTGAGGGGTAGGCACTTCAGCAAAACCCTTAAGAAATGAAAACACATTGCAAAAAGCTAACATTGATTATTTTGATTTGGATATAGTCAGAGGAAGGCCATTAGCATAGTAAAAACTATCCTAAAAGAAGTCATATAACATGAGAAAGGAAATGCGGATTTAGCCAAAGAAGATTTGAAATAGAAAGGGCAGAGACAAGGGAGAGAAACAGAGGGCTGGCTGCTAGCCAGTTGACACATACAAAGAAGTGGGATCCACAGTTAAAAGCAAAGTAGAGAAAGGGGGGTTTGGCTATACTGCTTTAATTTTTTAAGAAAGGGAAATAATTTTATGTTAACTTATACAGATCAAATCAAGTAAAACAAAAAGAAAATGAAATTCAATTTCTCTATAGAGAACAGTAGGCTTGATGTGTGAAGAAGGCAGATTTCATCCCTCTCAGAGGAAGAACTTTCTCACCAGGACCATCCACATATGGAGGGGCTGCCTCAAGCCCATTGGGTGGTCTGACATAGGCTGGGTGCCCAACCCTCAGCCAAGGCCCTTCCTGCACTGGGCGGGAGGAGACTGTGTTAAATGATCTCTAAGACTCTATTATACTGTCATTCCTTAAACTAACATTTATTGTTTACTTTGTACCAGGTAATCTACTGAAGTGCTGAATGTGAGTTATCTCATTTAACCTCACCACGACTCTGTGAGGAAAAGAAATATTATTATATACATACAGTGTTTCCTCCACTTAACAGACAATGAAATCACAGTTTTAAACTGACCTTCTTTTCACCCCTGTTGCTTCCAGTCCAAGTGTTTTGGTCTTAAACATAGTGACTCAGAGACACCAGCCAGTTGCAACACTCTTGAACTGAAAAGATATACTATATGCAGAAAGTGTTCCTGATGATGTAGTTACAGGAATCCTGAGGGGAACAGGGAGGGATGCTTCATTTGGAACATACTAATTGATACCTAGTGTTACTGGATACTCTGCAGGATGTTGGGGAAATCATGGTGATGAGTCTCTGCCTTCCCAGGGGTTTCAGATTCGTGAGAGGAACCAGCAAGTTAACAGAAAATTACAAAGAAGCAAGTGCTTGGTTAGGAGTTAGGCCAGGAATTGAACCTCCCTTGGTGGTTTGGATGCTCAAGGAGAACGTTTTAGAATAGAAGGGCTCTAAAGCTGAAGGAGAGT